>NC_000009.12:37585757-37737272 GCF_000001405.40 Homo sapiens
ATGGTGGTGTGCGCCTGTAATCCCAGCTACTCAGGTGGCTAAGGCACAAGAACCGTTTGAGTCAGGGAGGCAGAGGTTGCAGCGAGCCAAGATCGTCCACTGCACTCCAGCCTGGAGCAAAACTCTGTCTCCAAAAAATAAAAAGTTTATTTTCTGAAAAGGGTAAAATAGAAGGTCTCTAGATTATGGGATGCCAGGCAGTTTGGGCAGAGGTACTATACTCAAAACAGAGACGCAGTGAGCAAATACATACTGGATATTGAAACACACACACACACACCTGTCTGTCCTGAGCCTCACCACAGCCCTATTCCTTTGAATCCCAGAACGTTGGCAGGGCCTCATTCAGCACTTGGGAGATTGGAAGAGTCTTTGTTCTCTGAGCAATGACCAGCTCAATGGGAAATAACTAAAGATACAGACGCAAAAAGTTTTCTCAACAAAAATGGCCCAATAGATGGCCCTTTGGCAAAGTTCAACATCAACAAGCTCCACTCCAGGCCTTTAATCCATGTTAGTTCCCAATTTTTAAGTGTGAGCAGACAACCAAGGAAAGCATCTAACATGAAACAAAAAAAGAGAAAAGCAATTACAGATAAAATAGAATATAAAGGAAAAAGAAAACATTAAAAGTACTATTGTTCTAAAAAGAGAGCAGAAGGAAAAAGAAGGGGAGGAAATCAATAAAAACCTATAAGCATTCATTGGTGGATGCTACAAATTAATACGACTGAACTCATGGAGACAGAGTAGAATGATGGTTACCAGAGGCTAGGAAAGGTTAGGGAAGGAATGCAGGGATGGCTAATGGGTACAAAAATATAGTTAGATGTAATGAATAAGTTCTAGTATTTGATAGCATAATGGGTGATTACAGTCAATAATAATTTACTGTACATCTAAAAATAACTAAAAGTATAACTGGAATGTTTGTAACATAAATAAATTATAAATGAGGTGACAGATAATCCCGTTATCCTGATGTGATTATTAGGTACTGTATGCCTGTATCAAAATATCTCATGCACCCCATAAATATATACACTTACATACCCATAAAAAATAATAAAATTATTTTAAAACCTACAAAATTTGAGAAATAAAGATACAAGTTTCAAGTTTAAATAGGTTCACCAAGTGCCCACCACAGTGTATTAAAATAAACACACACTAAATGATGTCATCATGGAATATAAGCATACTAGGAACAAAGATCCTTGTTTCTCAGGAAGAAATACTTAGTCCCACAAAAAAATCAGGAATCAGAATGATTTCAGATTTCTCAGCAGCAACACTGAAAGCTAGAGGCTTTGCTTTAAAATTCTGAAGGAAAATGATTGCTAATCTAGAACCCTATATTCATCAAACTATAGAATAAAGACATTTTTAAGGCCAGGCACAGTGGCTCATGCCTATAATCCCAGCACTTTGGGAGGCTGAGGTGGGCAGATTACCTGAGGTCAGGAGTTCGAGACCAGCCTGGCCAACATGGCAAAACCCTGTCTCTACTAAAAATACAAAAATTAGCCAGGCGTGGTGGCACGTGCCTGTAATCCCAGCTACTTGGGAGGCTAAGGCAGGAAAATCGCTTGAACTGGGAGGTGGAGGTTGCAGTGAGCCAAGATCATGCCACTGCACTCTAGCCTAGTTGACAGAGCAAGACTCCGTGTTAAAAAAAAAAAAAAAAAAAAAAAAAAAGACATTTTTAGACCAGCAAGGTCATTCACCTCCTATGCCACCTTTCTCAGGAGGACACTGCCAGAGAAAACAGGCTCCATCAAACAAGGGAGTAAACCAAGACACTAGGTAACAGAAAACGAGATATAATAAGAGAGAAGAAAAGGAATTCCCGGACAATAGTGAAGGGAGTTCCCAGAATACAGTCACATATCAGGCATAGAGAAGGGAGTTCCCAGAATATAGCCACACACATCAGGCATAGAAGGCTATCAGTCCAGTCAGGGGCGGGTCAGAAGACTCCAGGAAACGCTTACTCAGGAAAATGAAACAGAGTACCTAATAAAGCTGATTGCTGTGAATGATTTAGATAAATGGCAAAAAGTTTAGTTGATTTAGTGGAAATTCCATAGAAAAACCAAGCCTAGAAAAAAACAAAAAGATACACAGCAAAAGAAAACCAGGTACTATACTCAGAATCCTAATGATACTAATCTACTCAAGATCACACTACGTTATCCTTTGGAAGGAAGAGATGACAAGATACGTGTGAGTGATGGCGCTAAGGACAGGAAAGAGACCTAAATCCCAATCACGACCGTCACATTATTTAGAGACCAAAAGGTAAATACCAATAAAATCAGCTAAAAAGAGGTGTATGTAGTTGCTCCTGGGGAGAAGGTTAAGGACTATCCCCCCTCCACTCAACAAACTTGGAGAACTATTTGGCTTAAAAATATAGTACTTTTTCCTTTGGTAGTATTAATATTTCATATACTCAGCATCAAGCAGTAATGCTACCTTTCATTAAGACTGCCTGGCAATAAAACACAATGACACTTCATCAGGATTGGCAAATTCTCTAGTCCAAAACAAGATGAACTTACTGAAGCTTGCAATAATCTCAATATAATACAAGTCTCACTAGTGATTGTTGGTTTGCAGCAAAAAGTAGGATAAGAAAAATAGAAACCCAACTTTTCTTAATTGATATGTTTATTAAAAACATAGACTAATAATGATCCTGTGCTTAAATGTCATTGTGGTTGTGTGCTGATTTCCACAAAACATAATATAAGAGACTCTTCACAAATACACTCTGGGCAGAAGAAAAAGGTAAACAGAAATGACTGACAAGACAGTGCCATTTCAGACACAGCTCCCTTAATACTTGCTAGAAAACGGAGTTTGACATTATTTACAATTATACCAGTATTGTCAGAGGCCAAACGTCACAGGGATAAGGGTACACCAGATCACGAGACATCGTTTCATACTTCCCAAATAGTTTTATATTTTAGCTTTGAAGGTCAGTTACCAGAGCCAAACTTGTTCTTAACAAGCAGAATTTTATGTCCATTCAAAGAGTCTCTTACACCTTTCTGGGCCTATTCACTTGCAGAGAGGAGTCGAAACTGTAACCAGGCTCTTCATATCGTGCATTCATATGTGATGTCCTGTCTTCATATGCTGTCCAATTTCTTTAAGATAAATGGAGCTGAAAGAAAAACAAATCTAAAATTAGTTTTCAAATCTATTAGCCCATAGGCTACATTATAGAATTATCAGGTTTATTCAACATGTTTTTGAAAATAACTCCAAGTGATGGTCAAGCATGTGCCTGTACAGCCCAGCAAAAGGGACTAGTTGCCTTCCAAAGCAGCCCATTCCACTGTCATTCAGCTATTATTGTAAATTTCATTCTTATACTACATAAAACCTTTTCTCCAGATAGTTTGCCCCTTAGGGCCATAAAGTATAAATCCAATTCTCTTTCAAATGACAAGGCTTTACTCTAGCGATTTATTTTAACTGTAAAAGGAACAAAACTCTAGAGGAAACAAATGGGCATTTTTCACCTTTAAAAACTCATTTGAAAGGCAGAGGATATGGGAAAACACTGAACTAGAGAACCGGAAGAGCTGGACACCTATTTTGGGTCTCTTACTGATTAGCTATATATCACTTAACATACTCTAGATCACATCTGATACAGTCCTACCTCAGTCATTAAGAGGGTCTAATAAGATCATGTACATAGAAATGTCTAGAAAACTAAGTGTCGACATATAGATCTAAAGAAGTGATATTACTGTCCTGTGTAAAAGTGTTGTGACCAAAAAAAAGCTACCCAAATCACCTTCTTTCTCAATACTCATACTAATAGAATTTTGTTAACATTATTTTATTTATTTATTTTTTTCAGCCTCCTGAATAGTTGGGACTATAGGCACATGCCACTATGCCTGGCTAATTTTTGTATTTTTTTAAAAGACGAGGTATCACCATGTTGCCAAGGCTGGTCTTGAACTCCTGAGCTCGAACAATCTGCCCGCCTCAGCCCCGCAAAGTGCTGGAATTACAGGCATGAGCCACTGCGCCCAGCTCAATTTCTTAATATTAAACTGAAGACACTGAGATCTGTCAGAAGCTGATAAAGTCAGCAGTATATCCAATTTTTCCTACTAATTCTTAACGACAGAAAAAAATCCATGAAATGATCAATGGATAAGCAAAATGTGATACATCCTTCCAACAGAAACTTATTTAGCTATCAAAATGAAGTTCTGACACATGCTACAACATGGATGAATCTTGAAAATGTTATGCTAAGTGAAATAAGCCAGACACAAAAGGCCATGCATTTGACAATTTCATTTAAATGAAATATCCAGGGCCAGGTGTGGTGGACCACACCTGTAATCCCAACAGGTTGGGAGGAGGAAATGAGAAGGATTGATCGAGCCCAATAGTTTGAGACCAACCTGGGCAGCATAATGAAACCTCGTGTCTACAAAAAATAAAAAATTAGCAGGGCGTGGTGGTGTGTGCCTGCAGTCTCAATTACTCAGGAGGCTGAAGTAGGAGGATCACTTACTTGAGCCTGGGAGGTCGAGGTTGCTGTGAGCCATGATCACTGCAGCCTCCACCTCTGCACACTAGCTTAGGCAACAGAGCAAGACCGTCTCAAAAAAAAGAAAAAAAAAATCCGGACTAGACAAATCCATAGAGAAAAAGTAGATTAGTCGTTGTGAAAGGCTGGAGAAAAGGGGGAAATGGGGTAACAATGAATTCGTATGGTGTTTCTTCTAGGGGGAAAGAAAATACTGTCAAATTGTGATGGCTGCACAACTGACTGCTAAAAACCACTGAATTGTACACCTTAAATGGGTATATTGTATAATATACAAATTATATTTCAACTTAAAAGTGAAAATAAACAATTCATATCAAATACAAAGGTCACTGAGAAGCAGCAAATATTTCACTGGCAGCTAGATCAATGAAAAAGGCAGGAGGCAGGAAATAAGTAAATTTGGGAGTTGCAAGAAGCTGTTGAACTAGGATGATACGGGTGTTTCTGTTCCCCAAGACTCGCTCTTCTGTGAAAGCAGAGTAATACCATAGACAGTGAAAGAGACACAGAATAAGGGACATCTCAGTATCAGTGAGCTCTGGCCTAAGCCCAACATGAGCCTTCAATAGGATGACTTTGGTATGGCCTTCATTTATTTGAACCATCCCTGCCGCTCCATCCAGACTGGCTGGCCAATAATATACAGCAAGGAACAATGGAAAGGATACTGAATTGAGAACGAGAAGGCAGGGCATTCGAGAACTGATCATAAAGCTGCTTCCAGTTCTTATATTCAGTGTTCCTATAACTCTGATACCTTCCTTCCTTGCTAAGTCCCCTCTGAAAATCAAGTTCTCATTTGTAAAATGATATAAAGAATCTTAGGCCCTGCCTCCCTCAAAGGTCCACTGTCAAGACTATATAATGGGAGTAACTTCCTGTCAATTTTAAGATATAGAAAAAAAAACCTCAAATATTTGCATTAATCCTATAGACTCATATTCTTTTTTCCCATTTTTTTCCAAAAAACTAATGACTCACTTCACCCTCTATACAAAGAAACAGAAATGAAGCAAAACTTTTTGGATTTCAAAGGTCAGCACTTTTGAAAGGGAAGGAACCCGGCCGCTGGTTCACGCCTGTAATCCCAGCACTTTGGGAGGCTGAGGCAGGTGGATCACCTGAGGTCAGGAGTTCGAGACCGGCCTGGCCAACATGGTTAAACACCCATCTCTACTAAAAATACAAAAATTAGCCGGGCGTGGTGGCGCGCGCCTGTAATCTCAGCTACTTGGGAGGCTGAGGTGGGAGAATGGCTTGAACTCGGGAGGCAGAGGTTGCAGTGAGCCAAGACTGCGCCACTGCACTCCAGCCTGGGCAACAGGGCGTGACTGTGTATCGAGGAAAAAAAAAAAAAAGAAAAGAAAAGAAAGGGAAGGAACCTGGTACTGAGTTAAGAGTTCTGGATTTTAGGTCAAGATCATTCACTGAATCGCTGAGTGACCTTTGGCCAGCCTTCCCAAGAAGGCTGTTTCTTCCTTCTAGAACTATGGTTCTGTTTCTCTGTTTCTCTGTCTGCAAAAACGAGGGAGTTCCTCTAGGGATAATTACTTGAGCTCTTTCAGCTCAAACATTCTTTTTTTTGAGATGGAGTCTTGCTCTGTCACTCAAGCTGGAGTGCAGTGTCGCGATCTCGGCTCACTGCAACCTCCGCCTCCTGGATTCAAGCAATCCTCCCACCTTAGCCTCCCGAGGAGCTGGGATTACAGGCGCCCGCCACCACGAACTCCTGACCCCAAATGATCCGCCCGCCTCGGCTTCACAAAGTGCTGGGTGGGATTACAGGTGTGAGCCAACGCGCCCGGCAGCTCAAACATTCTTCAAGCTGGGAGAACCAGGATGATTAAACACGCGCGCCGGCCACCACGTGCACTTCAGTGCCCGGACCCTGACCCGCAGACCTCAAACCGCGCATATGCCCGTCGCCTTCAACGCGCACCCTCCTTGCTCCCCGCTACCGTTCAGCTCAGTTCGAAGGCCCCGATGACCCCTTAGAGTTAAGGGGTGCCCGTCGGTGAGCTCCCCGCTGGTCTCACAGTCACAGCCCGGGAGACACTCACTGACTCGCAGGAGGGCCACGTAGATGAGAAAGTTCCGTATGGAGGAGATCACATCCTCGCGCATCTTCCGTTTCATCTCCTCCGGGTCCAGCTTCGGCGCGAGGCCCTCAATCCGGAACATCGCGGCTCTGACTTAGCAGCTTCCAGCCGCCGCGCTCTGCTCTCCACGGTGGCCGCCTCGCGCCCGGAACTCGGCCTATCCTCACTTCCTGTTCCCGCCCTCTCGTTGCCACACTCGACGATGGATGCCTGCACGGGACAATCCACGTCCTGACCCAGCTGATCTGAAGTGCGGTGTGAAGCGGGCGGCCGCAAGCTCAGCAACGCAGGCTCTGGTTTCTCCACGCTGTCTTTAATAACATCTGTCATACAAAAATCAGCCCGGCTCGGTGGCGCGTGCTTACAATCCCAGCTACTCGGGAGGCTGAGGCAGGAAAATCGCTTGAACCCAGGAGGGGGATGTTGCAGTTAGCCGAGATCGCGCCACTGCGCTCCAGCCTGGGCGACAGAGCGAGCGAGACTCCGTCTCAAAATAATAATAATAATAATAATAATAACAACAACAATAACATCTATCTTGAGCCTGGAGCGCTGCGCTGTAAAGTGCTTTTACGCGCTGGAGGGGGCTGTGCACATAGGTACCACTGTAAACAGTGATAACTAACATTTATTGAATATTCAATATAATTGTCCCCCGTGAATTCGATATTATAATCTTCGTTTCCTAGATTAGACAATTGAAGCACAGAGATCTTTAAAACATCTTGCCCAAATGTGCTTTAATTTTTATTTATTTTTTTATTGCTAATTGTGGTGGTTGAGACTGTTCTGGAACTCCTGGGTTCCAGGATCCAAGCGATCCTCCCGCCTCGGCCTCCCAAAGTGCTGGGATTACAGGCGTGAGCTATCGCGCCTGGCCCCCAAATGTGCTTAAAAATACCTCAGAGGGGGAAAAAAGTATTGAGAGAGATAAGTGATGTCAGCAAAATATTAAAAACTGCTGGTGACTAGTACTTCATTTTAGTTAATTATTCTAGTCTTTCTTGAGTATGTTTGAAACTTTACATAAGTTAAAACAAAGAGACAAAGATGAAACTTTTTTTTTTTTTTTTTTTTTTTTGGAGACAGAGTCTCGCTCTGCCGCCCAGGCTGGAGTGCAGTGGCGCAATTTCAGCTCACTGCAACCGCTGCTTCCCAGGTTCAAGTGATTCTCCTGCCTCAGCCTCCTGAGTAGCTGGGATTACGGTTGCGCAGCACCACGCCTGGCTAAATTTTGTATTTTTTGTAGAGACGCGGTTTCACCATGTTGGCCAGGCTGGTCTTGGAAACTCCTGATCTCAGGTGATCTGCCCACCTCGGCCCCCAAAAGTGCCGTGATTACAGGCATGAGCCACCGCACCTGGCCTTTTTACAGATTATTGAAGCACAGAGGTCTTTAAAATACTGTTAGCCAAGTAACACAATATGTATAAAGCAAGTTCAAATCTGATCAGCATTTTACAGATGAATAGAAAGAGGCTCAGAAACCAAGTCCAGCTTTGGTGTGAAGCCCTTTATCTGGAACATCGCAGCTGAAGTCTAAAGTGCACTAAAGTCTAGTCATTCTGCTGGTGATGCACGGGCAGGGTTCTAATGCAGATAATTATCATGTCAAGTTGAATTATCTTTCCCCTGCACCCTACTGCTCATCTGTTAGTCTTTAACAGTTAGTGCCCACATGGATGGACATCGCTAGAGTCAAGAGTTTGATGCAACCAGATTTCCTGTCACAGAAGCATCCAAACAGAGTTAGTAGGCTGCTGCCCCAAGTTACGCATGCCAACTAGCCATATCTACTTCTTACACGCAAGCCAGATGACTGAATTGCTCACATAATTCAAAACCAGAATGTTCCTTCTTGACTGCATATTGCATAGCAACAATGGACTTTGGATAAATTAGGACAATAATTTACTATGAGAGCAACTAATAACTATATGCACGGTCAACTTTCTGGTTGACAGAATGTAAGGCACTGGGGCAAGAAAGGGAACTCATCTGCTTATTCCAGCTTTAGCAACCTTTTGCATCTGTAATTCATGCAATGGAATAGCAGAGGCAGCTCTGGAATGGGAGGGGCTGACTCCCAAGGAATAGCCTCCAGCCAACCCTTGGTGAGTGTTTAGAAAGCCTGCAGTGATGTTGAAAGCAGCAAGAACTGCGGAAAGAACATGAACAGGAACACTGGAGACATGGACTCTAGATCTGGCACTGCTGCCAACTAGTGGTGTGATGAGGGACGAGTATCTGATTTCACTGCAACTCCATTTCTTTCTTCTTCTTTATTTATTTATTTATTTATTTATTTTAGACTGAGTTTTGCTCTGTCGCCCAGGCTGGAGTGCAGTGGCGTGATCTTGGCTCACTGCAACCTCTGCCTCCCGGGTTCAAGCGATTCTCCTGCCTCAGCCTCCCGAGTAGCTGGGACTACAGGCGTGTGCCACTACGCTCGGCTAATTTTCTTTTTTCTTTTTTAAGAGATGAAGTTTTGCTCTGTCGCCCAGGTTGGAGTGCAGTGGTGTGATCATAGCGCACTGCAACCTCACACTCCTGGGCTCAAGCAGTCCTTCTCCTGCCTTAGCTTCCTGAGTAGTTGGGACTACTGGCACGTGCCACTACACCTGGTTATTTTTTTCTATTTTGTTAGAAATAGAATATTGCTGTGTTGTCCAGGCTGGTCTCAAACTCCTGGGCTCAAGTAATCCTCTTGCCTCAGTCTCCTGACCGAGGCATGAGCCACTGCACCCAGTTCTTCCATTTGTTTAGTTGGAAAGGGAAGGCATATATTGAGATGCTTTTGAAAGTTTCTTCCAGTTCTAACAGTCTATGCATTTTTTAAAACCACCTATGCATCTTGAATTTTAATTGTGTCATCTAGAACTTTCTGTTATGGAGTGTATGACTTTGAAAATATCATCAAATATGGTCAGACATCAAAATGGTCAGTGTGTGTGTGTGTTCCACGATAGGATGGATGTAAAAATAAGGCATATCTCATCCATCCGAATAGTGAGGCAAAGTGATTGGGAAGGGGTGAGTTCTTGTTACGTGGTTCCAGTAACTTCAACCCCTAATGCTGATAAAATTTAGAAAAACAGCTCACATATGAAACTATCAATTTATTTTCTCTGCAGAGATGCTTTTGAGTAACTTTCATAGGAAATGAAAGACGGGATAAATTAGCCAAAAATAATGTTTCTTGGTGAAAAGAACAGATTTTAAGCATTTGAATTTTATTCCCTAAATTAAAGCAGTACTTTCTTAAATTAATTTTTTGAGACAGGGTCTCGCTATGTTGCCCAGGCTATTCTCAAACTCCTGGGCTCAAGGGATCCTCCTGCCTCAGCCTCCCAAGTAGCTGGGATACAGGCAAGCGCCACCATGCCCAGCTAAAGCAGCACCTTTACACCCGGTAGGTGATATGGTAGCAAACGGCTAGCCTGTTAAAGGGCAGTATTATTTTCATAACAATTTTCTTAAGTCTGGTGCTTGCGTACCTGTAGAGACAGAAGTAGGTAGTGGATAGAAATATGGGGTAGCTAGATCTTGGAGTGAAGAATTGGTGTTGGTTACAGGCTAGGAGGATGACCCATTCCTGTCTCAGATACGTTCCTCCTGGTGAATTCAGTTTTCCCCTTGCATGGTTCATCTAGTTGTAATGAAGGAAACTCATGAAAAGAGATTCGCTTCTCTTTTTTGGCTTTTTAAAAAAGTGCTTATTTATTTGGCATGTAGGTGGTGGTATTGTCCAATGACAGTGGGTTTAGGTGAGGCAAATTGAGAAAATATGCTTCAGGAAGTCAACATTGGATGGAGCTATTTCATATCTTGGACCCCTCATTCTTCCTCAATGATGGGATGATTAGAGGTTGGGTCTAATCTTTAAAGTTGCCCACATTTCTAAAAATGCTGTAATTCTGTGTTCATCTTTCCTGTTCTTCCTACATAACCTTGAACTAAAAGCTAAGAGCAAAGGATTCACTGTGATTTGCCGTGGAAGGCAAAAATAAAAAGTATGCGCGCATAATTTAATATTGATATTTGTATTATTTAGTCTGATCACAGAGGAAATGGGAGCTGATGTCACAGCCTGTCTTGTTTTCCATTTAGATCCCAGGAGGGATTAAAGAGCCATTTCCTTTGCCTCGACTTCCCAGACAGTACAGTACACATCATTCAGAGTGTACAACCTACTCATAAGAGAATTAAGTGCTTTAATTTTCATCACTGGTGAGGAATTTGTATTTGCAAGGTCAGAGATTGACTGATGACTCATGATTGGGGAATAAATCCAACATAAAATCACAGGAAGTTTGTGATTCCTAATTTATAGGGAGCTATATAGGCTTTGAGTATTGAACAGTTCAACCCCTTCATTTGGCAGATGGGGAAACTGAGGCCCAAAGGGACGCTAGTTAGAACTGGCTTGGACTAGGATAGGTCTCTGGGCTCCCAGTTTAGCCCCTTTCCCCATCGTACCTTGTTGGTTTCGATACTTTAACTGTGAATATTCTCATTGACGATCCTCCCCTCAGAAGTAAAGATGAAAAGAATGGAGTGTTGTTAAACCCCAGCTTGGGAGGGACAGGATAAGGGGTGGCTGTTACTCATCAATAGACTACAGGCAGCCCTTCTTTCCACATTGCCTCACCCATCACCAGTTGTTAATCTGGACTGTGTTATTATCCAGTCCCACACCTCTCCTTCCTCATTCCTTCAGGAGGTGAACATGGCCTGGAATTCCTAAAATAAACTTGACTTTAAAGTCCACTCAGAACCAAGATGAATGAAATAAGGGTCAGGACAAAGAAAGGACCCTTGGGCTCTCAGTAAGGATTGTTCCATGATAGATGCTAACCAGAGTCCTCACCTAGCAGAGAGGATAACTTACTTCTAGAAATTACTGCTCACTAAGGGACAGATGCCTCTTTAGGAAGAGGGGACCTTTGAACCTTAAAGGGAGGTAGAATGTTGATAACCTTCACCTCACTGGCATTTGCTTTCTATGACACCCCGTTCTCAGTTCTAACCTTTAGGGCTTTGTTGTCTGGATAATTCATGAATATTTGATCTCTTGCCATGTAGACTGCAAGCACCTCAAGTACAAGGAACATGTCATCGCTCATTCTTTCATCCTCCAAGCAACCGAGGACAGGTATTTACATGGTAGAAACTCAGTAAGTACCCCCAAGTGAATGAGTGAATGAATGCATTTCATATCTACTAGTGTTTAGAATTTAAAAATTGCTGGCTTTGTATATTAGATTGAAAGGAAATTGTCCCCAAAAGAAATTTCCCTCAAATACTACATAGTATTATTATTATTATTTTGACACAGAGTCTTGTTCTGTTGCCCAGGTTGAAGTGCAGTGGCATAATCTCGGCTCACTGCAACCTCTGCCTTCTGAGTTCAAGCAATTCTCCTGCCTCAGCCTCCTGAGTAGCTAGGATTACAAATGTGCACCACCACGCCTGGCTAATTTTTGTATTTTTAGGAGAGATGGGGTTTCACCATGTTGGCCAGGCTGGTCTCGAACACCTGACCTCAAGTGATCCACCCACCTTGGCCTCCCAAAGTGCTGAGATTACAGGCATGAGCCTCCACACCCGACCCTACCTATTAGTCTTATATAGTTACTTATTTCTCACTCTTTTAGAACAGGTTGTTTTTTGTTTGGCTAAATAAAAATCAATTAAATAATTTTAGTCTATCATAGGCAGAGTTATAGAATGAAATTTAAAATGTATTTGCTTGTATTTATTTACAGCAATATAATTATATAAAACCCATGTCATACTTTAAATAACTTTCTTTCTTTTATAAAAAAGTATGTTTACTATAATAAAATTTAGACAATACAAAAGTAAAGAAAAAAAAAGTAATTCCCCATAATACTACAACCACTCATATTGATGGTAATTCTTTTGGCCTTTCTTCTATCATATACATGTACAGCTCTTGCTCTTTCTTGTGTGTGTGTGTGTGTGTGTGTGTGTGTGTGTGAGTGTAGGCATATATATATAATATATATATCTCCACACGCATTTATATCTGTGTATTTTTACAAAAATAGAACATTTAGTATATGCTGTTTTTACCTGCATTTTTCATTAAGTGATATTGACTGTCTTCCTATATCTTTAAATATTCCTCTAAACATCATTAATGATGGCTGTATGGCATTCCAGTATATGGATTTACCATAATTTATTTACTAAATCTCTTCCTTTGGGTATTCAGTTGCTTACATATTTTCTCTATAAATAATACTTCAGTGAACATCCTTGTAGCACTTATTTTGTGCACACTTAAAAATTTCCCTGATCATTAGAATTACTACCTTAAATTCAGAGTTCTCAGTTTTTCCTAGTGACCCTCTTTTTTCTGAGGAATAGGGCACACTCTGGCCAAGGGTGTAGATGTCAGGTCTCCAGGCCTTTAGAACTACAAACAAGGAAATGGGAGATTTTGTTTTTAGAAGAGGTTTGCTTTCTTGTGCTAGAAGTTATTTTGCAGCAGGAAAAGTAAAATGTACTGAGGGCTTAGTTTGCATTGACATCATTTAGAGCACATACTAATTTCTAGCCATCTCCCTGCAGAGGTTAGAGCTGATTTTGCCATCATTCCCATCCCATCCCCATTACACAAAAGACACATGCATACGTTATGAAAATGTGCTTAGGCCGGGCGCGGTGGCTCACGCCTGTAATCCCAGCACCTTGGGAGGCCGAGGCGGGTGGATCACGAGGTCAGGAGGTCGAGACCATCCTGGCTAACACGGTGAAACCCCGTCTCTACTAAAAATACAAAAAAAAAAATTAGCCGGGTGTGGTAGCGGGCGCCCATAGTCCCAGCTACTCGGGAGGCTGAGGCAGGAGAATGGCGTGAACCCGGGAGGCGGAGCTTGCAGTGAGCCAAGATAGCGCCACTGCAGTCCAGTCTGGGCAGTCCAGCCTGGGTGAAAGAGCGAGACTCCGTCTCAAAAAAAAAAAAAAAAAAAAAAAAAAGAGTGAAATAAAATAATGTACATAATGTGCCTGGCTTATGGTGGACACTTTATAAATCGTAGCTACTACTAATAACAAGACATAATTTTTCAGTAGAAAAATTATGAATTGAGCATACTCTAAATGGAGCAAGTAATTTTTTTTTTTTTAACCACAACAGTATCTAAAAGGCCAGGCATGGTGGCTCATGGCTGTAATCCCAGTACTTTGGGAGGCTGAGGCGGGAGGATCACTTGAGCTCAGGAGTTTGAGACCAGCCTGAGCAACAAAGCGAGACCCCATCTCTACCAAAAAAAAAAAAATTTAGTTAGTCATGGTGGTGGCACACACCTGTGGTTCCAGCTACTCCAGAGGCTGAGGTGGCAGGATCGTTTGAGCCTGGGAGATACAGGCTGCAGTGAGCCATGATCGTGCCACCACATGCCAGCCTGAGTGACAAAGCAAGACCCTGTCAAACCCAAACCAAAAAACTCCCAGTATCTGCTATCATTAGTCAGTCCCATTTAAATTATCCCTGGCCTCTGATTCACAGTAAATCTTTTTTAAAAAGTGGCAGAGCACCCACAGTCCTCTTTTCCTCACCTCCTATTTATTCTTTTTTTTTTCTTTGAAATGGGGACTCTCTCTGTTGCCCAGGCTGGAGTGCAGTGGCGCGATCTCAGCTCACTGCAGCCTCCACCTCCTGGGTTCAGGCTATTCTCCTGCCTCAGCCTCCTGAGTAGCTAGGACTACAGGTGCGTGCCACCATGCCTGGCTAATTTTTGTTTTTGTTTTTTTGTTTTTGTTTCTGTTTTTGTTTTTAGTAGAGACGGCATTTCGTCATGTTGGCTAGGCTGGTCTCAAACTCCTGACCTCAAGTAATCCACCCACCTCGGCCTCCCAAAGTGCTGGGATTACGGACGTGAGCCACTATGCCCGGCCACCTCCTATTTATTCTGCAGCCTAAGGACAGGTTGGGCTTTTGGCCCCATCTGTTCTCTGAAACTCCTCCTTTGAGAGAAATCCTTATTGCCAAATCCAGGAGATTCTTGTGGGCCTCAAACCCTCTGCAGCATTTGACACTATTCGCCACATGGCCTTTTCAGGAAAGCTCTCCCCTCTTAGCCTCAGGGATACCACATTCTCTAGCTTTCTTTTCACCTCACTAGATGCTCCATAGCCTCCTTCCACACTCTTCCTTGGGTCACACTTAAATGGCAGCATTCTTTAAGGACCTCTCCTGGATCCCCTTCTCTTCTGTACCCATGGGCAATCTTGCCTGGCCTCAAATGCCATCTTTAGGCTAATGATTTACCACATATGTCACCAGCTCACTTCTCTCCAGAAACACAGAGGTGTATATCCAACCGACCTCCTAACTTCACTGTCTTCTCAGATGTCCCATGGGTACACACTTCACCTGTTCAAGGCAGAACCAATCCTCTTCCCATCTGTCTTAATCCATTTGGGGCTGCTATTACAGAATATCTGAGACTGGGTAATTTATGAAGAACGGAAGTTTATTTTCTCTCAGTTATAACGAGACTGGGAAGTCCAGGATCAAGGTGCTGGCATCTGGTCCAGTGAGGGCCTTCTTGCTGTATCCTCACATGACAGAAGGTGGGAGGGCAAGAGAATGCCCACTCCTGAAAGCCCTTTCATAAGAGCACTAATTCATTCAAGAGGGTGGAGCCCTCATGACCTAAATCTCCCATTAGACTCCACCTCCTAATACTGTTGCATTGGGGATTAAATTTTCAACACATGAAATTTTGGTCACACATTCAAACCATAGCACTCTTCTAATCAATCTTAACTCTTATGCTGTCTAGCCCAATGACTGGCACTACCATCCATTCCCTCTGGTTGTTAAAGCCAGAAATCTGGGAGTCAACTTGACTCTTGCCCCACCCATAGGCCCTACCTTGAATTAACCACTAAGTTTTGTTGATTCTATCTCCTTAATATCTCCAAAAGTCATAATATTCTTTCTGTTCCCACTACTACCACTTTTGCTCAGGCCACCCATTAATTGGTCTTTATTCTGTCTTATCCTCCCTAGTGCGTTGTCTACCTTGCAGCCTGAGTGATCTTCCTAAATATACATTTTATAGTGCAAAGACCCAAAGCAAAGAGTTTGGTGAGCTCAGGGAACATCCAGCAGATCGGTGTATGGAGATAGAGGCGGGAGGTTGAGTGGGAAAAGAGAAGAATAGAGGAAGAGTGAAGAAGAGGCAACAGGTTGAGGAAGAGAGTAAAAAGGGATGATGTTGGTGGGAAGATAGGTCTTTGCACATGAATTCTTTCTGATTAAAATTCCTTTTCCTGGCCAGGTGTGGTGGCTCACGCCTGTGATCCCAGCACTTTGGGAGGCTGAGGCGGGAGGATCACGAGGTCAGGAGATTGAGACCACGTGGTTAACATGGTGAAACCCCGTCTCTACTAAAAACACACACACACACAAAATCCCTTTTTCTATCTCTTCATCTGGCTAATTCCTAATGTCATTCAGAAATAGCTGGGTGCAGTGGTTTATGCCTGTAATCCCAGCACTTTGGGAAGCCGAGGCGGGCAGATCACCTGAGGTCAGGAGTTCAACACCAGCCTGGCCAACATGTTGAAACCCTGTCTCTACTAGAAATAGAAAAAAATTAGCCGGGAGTCATAGCAGAAGCCTGTAATCCCAGCTACTGGGAGGCTGAGGCAGGAGAATTGCTTGAACCCGGGAGGTGGAAGTTGCAGTGAGCCAAGATTTCGCCACTGCACTCCAGCCTGGGCAACAAGAGCGAAACTCCATCTCAAAAATAAATAAATAAATAAATAAATAAATAAATAAATAAATAAAATCACCTTAGATATCACCTTTTCCAAAAAGTCTTTACTAGTTTAGTTAATGGTTACTTGCCAGTGCTGGTTCCTTAGTTGTAACCATGGTACCACTGTAATACAGGATGTTAATACTGGGGAGACCAGGGTGAGAAGTATATGGAATTCTCTGCACTATCTTTGCAACTTTGCTATCAATCTTAAACTATTCTAAATAAAAAGGTCATGAAAAAAATTCCACTAGCTCTCCTGTGCTGGCTTAGCTGCTGCTTCTGTGTGTCTATGAGACCTGTGCCTACTCTTGTCCAAGCGTCAAAGCACTTAGCATAATATCTTACCATTGTCTATGTGTTTTTCTCTTCCACCAAAATAAGGATGGGAATCACGTCTTCTCATTTTTGTATCTCTCATGCCAACACAGTGCCTAGCAAATGAGAACTGTTTGGTTATCTCCTAAGTAAATGTTTATCGTAAATAAGTTTATTTTAGGGGGCACTACCAAAGCTCTTATTACAGGGTAACCTGAAATTATAGCAAAAAAGAACCTAACAGTCTCAGATATTAGAAATGACTTGTAAGCTCTGTTTGCTCCTCAGCATGGAGGACTTGGCAGACCTGTAGTGATGGATATACTTGAACATCCCGTGCATCCCCACACACAGTGTTTCTGTTTCCGGGAGAGCCACGTGATCCTTGTTCCTCTGAAGGTAAAGAGTCCCAGGCCAGCTGAGCTGGGTTAGTTCACTCCAGGTGAGCCTCACAGGCTGCTGCCAAATCCCAGGAGGGTGTGGACTGTGTGCGAGTGCAGGAAAGCCAACTAGGGCAAAGGGCAAAAGAACCAGTTGGAAGAAGAATGACACCACAGGGAGATGAATCTCCAGTTAAGCAATTCTAGTCCCAGCTCTTGCATTAATGAGCTGCGTGACCCTGGCCAAGTGTCTATCTCTTAGTAGGCGCCAGAGTCCATATCTGTAAAATGAGGGCTTGGATTGGCTGGTCTCTACAGTCTCTTCCAGGATTGATGCTGGGATTTGGTGATCAGTGTGAAGACTGTGGACACTGGTGGAAGGAAGGAGGTAAGTGTGTGTTAGGAGCATACGGCAACTGAACCATTGGTTTGGGTTAGCAGGCACCATGAGCAAAAAAACAAACAAAGCCAAAAAAACGAGTTAGGTCAGAGATGTGTTTAAGTCATCCTGGAAGTAGAGACTTCTGGGACACAATAGTTCGACCGCTGTGTCTTAAGGATTTAACTCAGATCCATCAGAAGGAAACATTCCTAAGTATTGCAGTGGGGGAGGTGGGTGGCAGAGCAGTTGTGATTTATACTTAATAGAATGATCATATTTGGGGAGGTTTTTGTGTTTATTGGCTAATAGGTTTTTTGTTTTGTTTTGTTTTGTTTTATTTTGTTTTGTTTTGTTTTGTTTTTGAGACGGAGTTTTGCTCTTGTCGTCCAGGCTGGAGTGCAATGGTGCAATCTCAGCTCACTGCAACCTCTGCCTCCTGAGTTCAAATATTTCTCCTGCCTCAGCCTCCCAAGTAGCTGGGCTTACAGGTGTGTGCCACCACGCCCGGCTAATTTTTTGTATTTTTAGTAGAGATGGGGTTTCTCCATTTTGGCCAGGTTGGTCTCGAACTCCTGACCTCAGGTGATCCGCCCACCTCAGCCTCCAAAGTGCTGGGATTACAGGAGTGAGCCTGTAATCTCATTATTACATAGTTTTGATTATTTGCTTTTCACTGAAATTATCTGTAATTTAAGTGTTGGAGATGATGCAAAGAGTACCACCTGGAACTTGGCTGGGGCAGGCATGGCAGCAATGCAGTGTTTTTGAATGCAACTGTTAAGTGTGCGAATTAAAATTATTTGGAGTTTGAGGCTATGAACTATAAAATCATAAAAATTCAGCATTTTCTTAATCTAAGTGAAAAAAAATCCAGTTTATTTCAAAGTTTACCTTTCCTGACTAGGTAGTAGTGGCTTTGGTGATTATATTAAAGATTATATTAAAGAAAAGTGTCTATTTGCCTAATTGAGTAAATATATTGTAACCAATCATTACTAGTTAAGAAGATCTAGTACCTGGTAGAGAACTTAGGGTGAGTAGAGAAGAAAATAACAGCGTGATTGTTAAAAATCCTAAGAAGATTCTTTTTGTTCACTGTATCAGAATTTCTGAGAGGTGGGTGGAAACACCCACTTTTGTCCCTGAAAGAACTGGAAATATGTAGTCACAAGGTATGCTTAGAAGCAGGGGCTTCTTGCTCAGAGCAACTCCTTCCAAATCTGGTCCTCCTTCTGTGTGGACCAGGTTTTCTTTCCTTCTTAGAAAAATAGTTATGTAATGATTCACTTGTGTTCAGGGATGGTAGAAAATTGCTTAACCTCATAAAGATTTTGGATTTAAATCCTGATGGACAAGGCACCAGCCAAATGTTAGCGTGAAGATGTGTGTCCTTGGTCCTCAGCATTGAAGTGGGCCAAGAGCAAAGAAAAGACCTTCCTGAAAAATGAGGGAACCAGCCAGAACCAGGGAGAATGAAGGGAAGTGGGCCAAGCATTAGGGCCGCAGGAAGAGGAGCCAAAACCCCAAAACAGTAATAGTTAGCATTATTGAGCATTTCTGCTGTGCCAAGCATGGTTCTAAATCATTGAATATAATTCTCACATCAACCCTCTGAGGCAGGCTCTATTATTTCCACTTTACAAATGGAAAAGTCAGGCATAGAGAGGTTAAATATTCATCCAAGGATAATCAGATAGTACATTGTGGAGCTGGAATACAAATCCAGGCAGTTCCACTGTGGAGTCGTTGCTGTTAGTCACCGTGCTTCAGTGCATATATAACCTTTTGATATTGTATATGACTTTCAGTCTGTGCTTCCAGTACCCAGCCTGGGGCTGGGAAGGTAATGGACTTTGCTGGATGTTCCTGAACTGAATGGAACCCAGCAGACTCAGCCTGTGCCCAAACCTGGTACCTGGAGTCTGTGGGAGGCTCTGTTTGGCTCAGCACAATCCTTGGGAGAAGCAGAATGCTAGTCAGTCCCTGAGGGCTGGCAACAAAGCCCAACCCAGCCAGCTGACAGATCATGGCAGGACTCCCCCTTACTGCATTGAAAGGGGTAGGAAAAGCATGGGCACTCAAGAACCCAGAGCTGACGGAGATGAGAAAGCAGCCTGGTCATTCCATAGCACATACTGAGAACCCACTCTACACCAGCCCCTGCTCTGGGCACTAGCCACTGTCAATATAGAATTAGATTGTACATATTCTGTGCCCTAGAGGAGCCCCCTGCTAATGGTGAGAAAGGCCACCTATCTGATAGGACTTTGGAAATTGCCTTAGGACCTCTGTCCTGGTTTGTACAGCAGATAAGACTAATTCCAAATCATATTGTCATTCTGGTAGAATTTTATTTATTTATTTATTTATTTATTTATTTATTTATTTATTTACTGACTGAGACAAGGTCTCACTCTGTCACCCAGGCTGGAGTGCAGTGGCATGATCATAGCTCATCACAACCTCAAATTCTTGGGCTGAAGGGATCCTCCCACCTCAGCCTCCTGAGTAGCTGGGACTACAGGTTCATGCCTGGGTAGTTTTTAAATTTTATGTAGAAGCAGGGTCTCACTTTGTTGCCCAGGCTGGTCTTGAAGTCCTGGGCTCAAATGATCCTTCCACCTCAGCCTCCCACATAGCTGGGATTACAGGCATGAACCGCTACACTCAGCCTTACGGAAGTTTAAATATTCAGCTCACTGCCCACTAACTGAAATCAGGAGATGGGTTGTATAATCTGTAGACCCCTGGATGAACTTTTTGGAGCAAGGATGTAGGGGCTAAGGTTATGGCAGGTCTGGGTAGACAGAATCTGCAACAGGACTCTGTAATTAAAATGGCAGTAGAGATGGTTGGATAAGAGAGGGGAGAAGGAAAGAAACCTGCTCTTGTATTCATAAAACAGTAGGGCATATTTATCCCGGTGGAAGAGGGCATTTATTCTGTGTGCCAGCCATGGAACCATCTATTGGATCAAGCCTCTTGAGTGATGAAAAAATTGTTGTAGACTAGGGACTTATTTGGTGATGAAAGTGATGTCTGATTTGCTTGTTGTACTGGTGGCATTCTTTGTATTGCCTTGTTTCACTCTCAGAAGTATTCTGGGTTGGATGACAAACTTTATGGTCACACTGCCCATGGACAAAAAGATACCTGTATTTTTCTGGTGGCCCTGAGTTCTAAATTTTAAAGCCAAAGAGAGGTTGGTGTATAAAGCACCTCTTGCTAAATAGCGTTTTCTTCTGGCACCACCACGCTGAATATGCACAAAACTCTTTTCTTTTCCCTCTTAGCTTGGCTGGAAATATAAAACTAAAATTTACTTTAAAATTAATAGAAAACAAAAAAGATTCCCTTTAAACCAGAAAAACAGATACAGGATAGAAATTTATTAAGTTCTTGCCACAGATCAGCTTGACTGGCTCAGTTCAGAATGATCAGTTCCTGGATTGCTTAGCTCTCCTCCACCTAGAGTTCTGGGACACACAGCCAGAGAGAGGCTGGAGTAGGAGTGTCTGCAGGGAACCATAGATGTAAGGGAGTCCTTGGCCCTTCACATGTCATTCTGGGCTATGAGACCCTGAGGGGTTAGTCCTTGACTCCTGGGAGAAGGGAGAAGGGTTTTGTTTTTATTATTTTTTCACATGAAGCCACTGCTTGAAGCATAGTGACAGTGAATGTAGAAATCATTAGAAACATGGTTGAGCACAGTGGCTGACACCTATAATCCCAGCACTTTGGGAGGCCGGGGCGGGTGGATCACCTGAGGTCAGGATTTCGAGACCAGCCTGGCCAACGTGGAGAAATCCCGTCTCTAATAAAAATACAAAAATTAGCCAAGCATGGTGGCTCGTGCCTGTAATCCCAGCTGCTTGGGAGGCTGAAGCAGGGAGAATCACTTGAACCCGAGAGGCGGAGGTTGCAGGGAGCCAGGATCACACCACTGCACTCCAGCCTGGGTGACAAAGTGAGACTCCATCTCAAAAAAATCATTAGAAACAAAAGAATCCGGGGAAAGGAATGAAAGTGGTGTTTCATGAAGTTTAATTGAGCAATGACCTCCTCATTAGCAGCAGTCAGTTCAGTTTATGTGACCTCATTTAAGGAAAAAAAACAAGGATTAGGGGAAAAAGCGCCTCCTTTGTGTTACTGTTCCTTCTCTCTCTCACTGGTACATCCACCTGTATCCTTGTGGTTGTGTTGCCATTGCTAAATTCATCAAACAAGGTCTGTGATTGTATGTGACCTTAGTCATCTATTTGTTACACAAGCATTTTTGGATTGTTTGAACCATTCAACACCTCTTTCCTTTGCATATAAATGGAGATTAGGAGGATTCTTAATAGGTAGTTATTGAGCATCAAGCCTGTCATAGATATTAAGGAGAATTACAGGGTCGGGGATTTATAGTCAAAATTCAAAGAGATGTGAAAATAATGAGAAACCTCATGGTTTAGGTTTTGATGTTAGAAGCTCGCTGCTTCAAAGATCTAGAAATGTGTAATAAAACCATACCAGCTCTTGTTTCTACTTCCCCAACATAAAACAGCTAAAGATCACTGAATAAATTAATAGACGATAGCAAGAGTGTGTTTCTTCAAGGGAAGTTCCTCTGAGAAGCTTGCTATTTCAGGAAGACATGGGTCGTGGCTTTTGTGAATCAATTTTAAAAGGAGCCAGATAAACTTGTGGCCAGCGATAACATCTATAGCTATTGAAGGCGAGACGGGGTAGTCAGTTCTCATGCTGCATTGCATTTAAACCCTGTGTCACGAAGGCTACGTGAACAGGCTGGGAATGTCTTCCCCACAGGGTCCTTGCTCGTATTCAATTTCTCCTGATAAACTGCCTCATTCTCCATGTCAAACCCTTTTCAAAGCTTGACATAAATTCTGGGTTGATGAAGTAACATACTGATTATTTAAGAAACATGGCATAACTTATAAGGACTAGGATGCATGCCCAACTCTTCAAAGTTTTGAACTCTGGGGCCTAGAAACCAATTTCAAAGGCACTGCCTACTTTCTTTCTTTCTCTTCTTTCTCTTTCTTTCTTTTTTTTTTTCTATCTTTCTCTCTTTCTTTCTTTCCTTCCTTTACATCCTTCCTTCTTTTCTTTTCCTTTCTTCCTTCCCTCCTTCCTTCCTTCTTTCCTTCCTTCCACTTTCTTTCTTCCTTCCTGAGATGGGGGGAGGGTAGTTGGTCTCACTATGTTGCCCAGGCTGGACTTGAACTCCTGGGCTCAAGTGATCTTCCTATCTCAGCCTCCCAAGTAGCTGGAACTATAGGCACTTGCCACTGTGCCTGGCAAGACTTAGTTTTCTTTTGCAAATCATTCCTGGGAATTGACACAGAAACAACTTATTAATCTTAAAAGCAACCATATTCATAACTTCATAGTAATGATAAAAATACTAAGAGTATTTAAATTTCAATAAGAATAATAGCTGAAATGTATTGGGGGCGTATTGTGTGCTAGGCCCTGTGTACACTGAAAGTTTCACATGGATTGTCTTGTTTAATCCTCCCAATAATAAGCATTATTATGTAGGTGTTATTATATTATCCCAGTTTTACAGATGAATATTATTACAGTCCAACCGTGCTCCTGAATTCCTGACCAAACATCCAACTGTCCACTCAACATCTCTGTTTGGATGTTTAATAGGCATCTCAGGCCGGGCATGGTGGCTCACGCCTGTAATCCCAGCACTTTGGGAGGCTGAGGCGGGCAGATCACCTGAGATCAGGAGTTCGAGACCAGCCTGACCAACATGGAGAAACCCCGTCTCTACTAAAAATACAAAAAGTTAGCCGGGCATGGTGGCACATGCCTGTAATCCCAGCTACTTGGGAGGCTGAGGCAGGAGAATCACTTGAACCTGGGAGGCGGAGTTTGCGGTGAACCCAGATCACGCCATTGCACTCCAGCCTGGGCAACAAGAGCGAAACTCCGTCTCAAAAAAAAAAAAAAAGTATCTCAAGTTTAAAATGTCTAAAACTTGGCTCCTAATATTCCCTTCTCGTTCCTCTGCCCCCAAGAAACTTCCTCCCCTTCAGTTTTCCTCATCTCAGGTAGCGGCAAGTCCAGCCTTCAGGTTGCTGAGGCCCAAAACCTTGGAGTCATCTTTGACTCATCTCTTTCTCTCAAACCCTGCATCCAATCTGGTCAGCAAATCCTGTTGCTGCACCTTCATAAAGCATATCCAGAATCAGAGTACTTCTCACTCCTCCACTGTTACTTCCCTGCTTCAAACCACCATCCTCTTTCACCCGGATGATTGCAGTAACCTTCCGCCCTCACCCCCTTCAAGTCTGTTCATCATGGTAGCTAAAGTGCTCTTGTTAAAATGCAAGTTCAAAACCTTTCAGCGGCTTCCCATCTGACTCAGAGTGGAAATCAAAGCCCTTACAATGGCTACAAAGGCTCCACGGGCCCGTGTCTTCTCTCACTGGCTGTCCTTCCCTCAGCCTTCCTCACTAGCTTCCTCGGCTCCAGCCTCCTTGCTCTTCCTCAGGAAAGCCAAGCCTACTCAGGGCCCCAGAGTCTTGGCTCTGATTCTTCCCTCTGCCTGGACTGCTTTCCCCAACACCCTATCCACAGGCTTTGGAGCTGCCTCTCTTTCAGGTCCAATGTCACTTTCCCAGAAAGCCCTGCCCTGAAGCCCCATTTAGTTTTTACAACTACCCCCGGCCAGCAGTCGTCATGTTTCTTCCCAACTTTAGTTTCTTCCCAGCACTTGCCACCATTGAACATACTACATAGTTTTCTTAATTTGTTGTCTCTTTCCCCACAATAGAATGTCAGCTCCATGAATGTGGAGATTTTTTTGAATTTTGAATCATTATGGATACATAACAGTTGTACATAGTTACGGGATACATGTGATATTTTGATGCAAGCATACAGTGTATAATGATCAAATCAGAGTCATTGGGCTATCCATCACCTCAAGCAAGGGCAGAGATTTTTGTCTCTTTTTTTTACTTCAGTATCCTTAGTGGCCAGAACAGTGTCTAGCACATAAGAGACACTCCATTTGTTGAATAACTGAATAAATGAGGAAAGTGAGGTTTAGGACTTGCTTGACTTTATTTTATTTTATTTTATTTTTTTAGAGACGGAGTCCCACTCTGTCAAAAAAACAACAACAAAAAACAAATGGTATACTGTTTACACTGTCCTATATCTCTCTTTTTCATTTATCATATCATATATGTTAGAGATTGTGTTATATCAGTACATGAATAACTATCACATTCTTTTTTTTTTTTTTTTGAGACAGCGTTTCTCTCTTGTTGCCCAGGCTGGAGTGCAATGGCGCGATCTCGGCTCACTGCAACCTCCGCCTCCTGGGTTCAAGAGATTCTCCTGCCACAGCCTCCTGAGTAGCTGCGATTACAGGCGTGCGCCATCACACCTGGATAATTGTGTGGTTTTTTTTCTTTTAGCAGAGATGGGGTTTCTCCATGTTGTTAGACTGGTCTCGAACTCCCAACCTCAGGTGATCTGCCCGCCTCAGCTTCCTAAAGTGCTGGGATTACAGGCGTGAGCCACCATCCTGGCCTCACATTCTTTTTTAAACAAAGATACATTGTATTTTATGTATGGACATACTAAAATGTATTTAACCAGTCCCCTATTGATGGACATTTAGGTTGTTTCCAGTCTTTTTCTGTAACAAATAATGCTGCAGTTAATACCTTTGTGCAAGCATCATTTCACCCATGTAAAAATACGTTTGTAGGATAACTTCCTAGAAGAGGAGATACTGGGCCAAAGGGTATGTGCATTTGTAATTGTTTTTTTAGCAAAGTCCAGCCCTGCAGTCTAGCATTTGTAATTTTGATAGATATTGCCAAATTTCCCTTCTTGACCTTTGTACCAATTTGCATTCTCATCAGCAACGTATGTGAGAGGTTAGAAGCTCTTAACCTTGAGTTCACAGACCCTGAAATTGTATAAGCAAATTTTTTGTGCTTATGCGAATCTACATGTGCTTCTGCGGACGGCCCCACCTGTCAGCAGATTCTCAAAGGACTCGAAATCTCCCAACAGGTTAAGAATCATTGCTTGCAGGAAGCCTTACTCTTGAAGATCTAATATAAAGAAGGGATTTCTTCAAATTATAAAATGATTTTGAAAGGATTCTGATTTTCAGAGGGAATCACTAAAAATGTCTTGTGCATTTACAATACAATGAAATTGATGAAATTAAATATGTGCACTTATTTTATTTGGTAGACTCTTTTTTTGCCCAAGTGTATATTGGTTCTAAGAGGATTTGGAGCAAATCCCACTACAATAAAAGCTATGTGTAACAGAAAGATATTTGAGCCTCCAGGTAATACACCCTTTATTTCAAATAATAGTAAACCTGTATGCATAGCTTTGGGTTTATATGTTTAAGATGCTGTATTTGGAAACATTTTTGACATACCTTAGTGCACAGAGCTTAATGCAGAGCTTGGCATACAGTAAGCCTTCAATGTCTATCTTCTGTATTCTTTTTTTCCCTTTACTCCTTATCTTAGAATGTGCAGCATTTCACAGATCTGGTTATAATGACATTGGACCTAAAGTGATTCTCTCAGCCTAGGAGAGAGGCCAGTGGCGATTCCCAGTGGATCAGCCTGGGTATAATAGGCTCTTGATTTCCTGAGCCCTCAGCTCAGTGGTTCTTTCCTCCACTCAGGTCCCAGCACCTATGCAAAATACACTTAAGCCCTTGTCTTCTGCTTCATTTCCTTGACCATTTATAGGCCTAGAAACCCTGACCTATATCCCAGGGGTGTGATGTGGATTGACCAGTAAACCATTATTAATTGTGAAGTAAACATTCATTATTGTTAGCACTGTTTCCGGTCTGGGTTCCTGACCTGGAGAGAGAAACTGCTTGCACAGTGGCTCTCTGTGGGAGTTCAGAACACTCACAAACTTATGAGGGGTGTGTCCTCCTTTGAAGTATGCTAGGAGTACTTCAAAGTTTTTTTGTTTTTGTTTGTTTTTGCTTTTGTTTTTGTTTTTGTTTTTGAGACGGAGTCTCGATCTATTGCCCAGGCTGGAGTGCAGTGGCGTGATCTCGGCTCACTGCAACCTCCGCTTCTCGGGTTCCAGCGATTCTCCTGCCTCAGCCTCCCAAGTAACTGGGATTACAGGCATGCACCACCATGCCCAGCTAATTTTTTTTTTTTTTTTTTTTTTGAGACGGAGTCTTGCTCTGTTGCCAGGCTGGAGTGCAGTGGCACGATCTCAGCTCACTGCAACTTCTGCCTCCCGGGTTCAAGCGATTCCCCTGCCTCAGCCTCCCAAGTAGCTGGGATAATTTTTGTATTTTTAGTAGAGACAAGGTTTCACCACATTGACCAGGCTGGTCTCGAACTCCTGACCTCAGGTGATCTGCCCGCCTTGGCCTCCCAAAGTGTTGGGATTACAGGCATGAGCCACCGTGCCCAGCCTACTTCAAAGTATTTTAAAGGATTTGAGTTCACTGGAGAGATGTCCTGTTTTTAAGTGACTACGAGAACCTGGTCACTGTTCCCAATATCAGAAGGACTGCCACGGGGCAGAGGATGAGGAGTTGTCCTTCATGGGTCCAGAGGGCAGAACTAGGACCAGTAGGGAGGTAGATGTTAACCTGAGAATGGGAAGAACTTTAATGGCTAGAGCAGTTCAACTACCACCAACTGCCTGAAAAAGCAAGAAGTTCTTTCCAGTCATGAAAACGTTCAAGCAAAGGCAAGGTGATTTTTCATTTTCAAAAATAATTTATTGATTAATTACCTACCATGTGCAGGACATTGTCCTAAGTGCTAGAGGAGCCCAAATGTGAACTAGGCAAGTAGTGTGCTCCTAGAGAGCTCCTGGTGTAAGAGGGAAGATAAAAGTCATCTATCCATGCATCCATTCACTCAGTGAATATATACTGAGCACCTACTATGTATGTGACAGGCATCATAGCACTGCAGATACAACAGATAACAAAATAAAGATTTTTGTACCTTACAGGTGGTAGATGAGATTGACAGTAAGATTCCCTAAAGCAAGAAGTTAATGTTACCCTTTGAGAATGAAATTAGGAAAAGTTAATGTGAAACAAACCAACAAAATCAACTGGCTAATGGGAATATAATTATAACTAAGGGAGCTTAAATACAACAAATCATATGATACTTTGCTGGCTCTTAGTGTAAAGGGGTTAGTCTGCCTGGAGCTCGAAAACAGAGACACAGCGGAAAAATATTTTAAAATTTGTTCCTAGCGTTCTCTGAAGACAGGGTAGTCAACCATGGACTGAAAACATCAGGCTGCCACAGCTCAGTGACACTGGCCACTGAGATCATTCAACTCACATTCTTTCAAGCACCTTTTCTTCTTCTCTTGGCTCCTATGTACCTTCAGGTTTAACTTAAATATAACTTTTCTGGAAAGCCTCTTCTGTACTCTCAGAGTACTATGTACTATGTGCGGCTTCATGGCACTTATTACAGCCATAATTTATTAACTGTTTCTTTATTTAGTGTCTGTCATCTCTCACTAGACTGGAAGCTGCATAAGGGCAGAAGCCCTGTCAATCTTATCCACACTTGCCTCCTACTGCCTGGCACATAGAGGCACTCAGGAAATATTTGTCAAATGACTGAATAAATAAATGAAAGACTGAATGAATCTGACTTCCCAGGAAGATTTTCTTATAAGGGAAGAATGCTGCCAGCAGAGAGGGGACTTTATTTCTGAGTTTCTTAGAGACCTCTCATATGACATCACTCTAACATAGGTAGAAAATGAACAGGAATGATCTATGGGACTTCAGAGATGGGGTAGCAATTATGGAAGTGGTTGTTGAAGAGTGGACACCTAGCCCAAGTCTTGAATCAAAGATGGGATTAGGCATGTGGGACTGAGGGGTAGAGGGAAAAAGATTATTCTAGGCAGAAATGGACAACACAGGCAAAGATACCAAGTCTGGAATGCAGAGTGCATATAGGGAAGAAATGGGAAATAACATGGGGAAGGCAGGCTGGGATCCCAATGAGACAGGCAGGATGAAGAATATGGACTTATTCATATTCATCTGTTGGTAGGCTTTGCCACAGAGGGAATCCCTGCATTGCACAAGGGCGTCAGTTCCTTCCGTAGTGTTTCAAAAGGCATGGTGTGGACAATGAAATTGACTGAATGACTCCAGGGAAAGGCCAGCTGAAATGTTTCCCAAAAAACCTTCACAGTGGGGCATTACCTTAATGAAGTTACAGGGTCCAGGTTCTGGCCCTTTGCCCCTGAGGTTCGGAAGTCTAATTTGTCAGCAGTCAAGGGTGTCTAGGCTTACAAGGCTAATGTACATAACCAGGATGCTAGCTTATTTACAAGGAAAACTAGAATTGCTGAAGGTTTCAAATGTTCAAGGCCTATGACTAGAGCATTCTAGCCCAGTAAGTAGGCCAAATGAGAAGTCATATTATAATCAGGTGTCAGTTTATTAACTCATGGTAAGAAATACAATTGCCAAGGGATGCCTAAGTCCAATGGCTAATGGATTTATTTCTTGTAGGTGGAGCTACATGAAGCTAAACTATAATTAGATTGCTTGATAAGTGTGGAATTAAAACAAGGGGAAGAAATTAAAAGAATGTTTAGAGGCATCTGGCCTAGACCTCTATAATAGGGAGATACCTGTCATCAGAATTACCCAAATCTCCTTCTTAACCAGAGCCCCTTTGCCAAGACTTGCTTGTCTGACCTTGCAGGGTTGCTACCTTTTCTAGTCTTTTCTTTCTTTCTTTTTTTTTTGTGTGTGACACAGGGGTCTCACTCTGTCACCCAGGTTGGAATGCAGTGGCGTGATCTCAGCTCTCTGCAACCTCCACTTCCCAGGCTCAAGTGATCCTCCTATGTCAGCCTCCTGAGTAGCTGGGACCACAGGCATACCATGCCTGGCTAATTTTTTTGTATTTTTTGGTAGAGATGGGGTTTAGCTGTGTTGCCTAGGCTGGTCTTGAACTCCTGAGCTCAGGTGATCTACCCACCTCGGCCTCTGAAAGTGCTGGGATTACAGGCATGAGCCACTGCACCGGTCTATAGCATTTTCTTAGCTCGTCAACCTCGCTTCTGATTGAGCTTTTCTTCTTTACCTGTATTAATATTTTCAATGAGATTTCATCAAGTGGTCCCGGTCTGAGAACCATTCTGTTTCTTTAAGGTGACTTAGCAAATCTCTACTCTAATACATTATGTGTTGATGTCCTATTTTAACTCTCAAGGACAATCTCATTTCTAATTCTTTCAGGATCACTCACTGTTGCCCTTAGTACTGACAACACTTTACAGCCTCGAGATTTTAGGACACCCCAAGCCCCAGATGGCTTAGAGCAATCTTATTTAACATTGTCGGGATTTCCCAAACTAGATGAAACCTCAGTGATAATAACTCCTTCCATTCCATTCATGTGTTTCTTTGTAATCAAAACACATGATCACATCTGTTCTTTTTTTTTTTTGAGACAGAGTCTCCCTCTGTCACCCAGGCTGGAGTGTAATGGCATGATCTCAGCTCACTGCAACCTCCGTCTCCTGGATTCAAGCAATTCTTATGCCTCAGCCTCCCAAGTAGCTGAGATTACAGGCACCCACCATCATGCCCAGCTTGTTTTTTTGTGTATTTTTAGTAGAGACGGGGTTTCACCATGTTGGTCAGGCTGGTCTTGAACTCCTGACCTCAAGTGATCCACCCGCCTCGGCCTCCCAAAGTGCTGGGATTACAGGCATGAGCCACTGTGCCCAGCCCTTTTTTTTTTTTTTTTTTTTTGACAGAGTCTTACTCTGTCGCCCAGGCTGGAGTGCAGTGGTATAATCTCAGCTCACTGCAACCTCTGCCTCTGAGTTCTAGCTATTCTCCTGGTTCACCCTCTCACGTAGCTGGGATTTCAGGTGTGTACCACCACACCCGGCTAATTTTGTATTTTTAGTAAAGACGGGGTTTCACCATGTTGGCCAGGCTGGTCTCAAACTCCTAACCTCAAGTGATCCATCCACCTTGGCCTCCCAAAGTGCTGGGATTACAGGCATGAGCCACTGCGCCCGGCCCACATCTGTTGTTTTATTCCATCATCCTAAGAACTCTTGAGGGAAAGGGCGGGGATTGGAGTTGCTTATGGTCACACAGTTAATAAGAGGTAGAGACAGATCTCAGAGCCCAGGGCACTTTCTGTTGCATCCTGCTGTTGCACCATGAAAAAGAACAGAGTTTTCTTGTAAATTCCACCTGCACTGAGAAGAAATATCACATAATACTGTTGTTAGATTTACCCACTTGAAGGTCAAGCACAGAAGTCAGATTTGAGGCTTACCATGAAACCATGATTGAAAAATCTAGTATCAGAAGTAGGGCTTGATTTGCAGTACTGTAGATGGGTCTAGTCTCTCCGTATCTCTAGGAGATAGAACAACAGGATTAGACAGACCCCTCAGGGCAGAGTTGGCAGGAGCAAAGACCAAATTATAGATTGGAAGGCACAACAGTGATCCTAGAGTTAGAATGAAGGGGGCTGGTGTTCCTGGGGTATATTACCACCAAGCTACAGGAAACATAGGGTTGAACGACCCCTCTTAGACTCAGAAGTCTTTTCCTCTAAACACTGCTGGATGTACAAGGACCCATTCTTATGCATTGCTTGCTTTCCGCAGACTGCACACAGACCATGATAAGAGTCATTATTGAGCACCCACACTATGCTAGGCTCAGGCCTAGGTATGTGATTTTGCTCTTAATCTCTATCCTACGCCCAAGAAACTGTAACCTTTAGAGGTTAAACTTGCCCAAGATCACTAATATGATGGAAATGGGTTTCTAAGCAGGTCTGTTTGGCTGCAGAACTAAACTTTTTTCCCTTTATGCCATGACGACAAACATTCATATCTCAGAATGAGATGTTACAATTCAGGCCTCTTCTGTCCTCCAGTTCTGCTGGCTGGAGTGATGAGAACAAGAGACACTCTGACCTCAGAGAGCGTTGCATTCAGTACATGCCAGAGCCAGACTGCCTGGTTTCAAATGCAGGCTCTACCACTTGCCCACTGGGATAAGTCTTACTGGCTCTGTGCCTGTTTCCTCACATGTAAAATGGAGAAATGATAGCACTCACTTTATAGAATTATTGTGAGGATTAAATATGCTAATGTAGGTACAGTGCTTAGAAAAGTATCTGGCACATAGTAAATGCTCAGTAAAATTAGCCATTATTATCTTTTGATTAAATTGAGTTCATGATCCCAATCCAATCTGACCACTTGACCGGATTCGGGAGACACTGTGTCCTCATTAATTCCCTAATTCTAAGCCATCCCTTGAGGTGGATTACTTTCTAAATGGGTCATCTTAACCATTTTTAAAGATCCCTACTGATGTAATTATCAAACCTCATCTGGAATTCTTGTGTCACACTCTGGGCGGTCCCTACAGTTTGCCCCTGTTGTACCTTCCTTCCTACTTTCCTAAAAAGGCCTGCCTAAAGTGACTCTGAGTTCACTGGACAGCTGCCCTTTCGTGGGTCCCAGCAGCCCTCTGGTCTTTAGAACTCCCCATGAGAGCCCATTCTTTGCATGCTTTGGAGCTCAGCAGCCTTCCTGAGTCTTCTCAGCTAGTGATGTTCGGATGACTGAGCTTGTAGGAAAGGGTGGGGCAGCCCCAGCTGACTCCAGAAAGGAAATGAGGTCTGTCCACACAGACAATCGCAGACCAATTAAAATGGTGCATGAGGCAATTAAGGACTGCAAATGAGGTGCCACTGCTCTGAGGTGCCACATAACTGCCAGATAATGATAGCCTTCGGCAGGGACAATACTGTGACTTGGAATTGAATGACTTTTATGACAGGATTAAAACAAAAAGGACAAGACATCTGCAAGACATAAATTCATACTTTCAAATTGAATCTTTAATACAGTTCAATCTCACAAATATTTATGAAACAGGGGGGAACAGTGCTGGCTGTTACAGGGGACAAATGAATAGGTGACACTCAGCCCCTGACCCAAGAGTGGCAGTTCTCCCTCTCCACTGCTACTTCTCATCAGCAACAACAGCCTCTTTTACCTGGAATACTACACTCATCCCGATTGGTCTCCTTGTCTCTTTTCTCATCCACAATCCATACAAAACAACTTTGGGCACATAAATTTCCCAGCCAAAAATGCTTCCCCAAAATGAGAAGCATTTTTGAGTGGGAAATAGCCTACATATTAAGTGTCAATACCTTACAAGTATTGAAAGCCCCCACAGATTGGTCCAAATTAACCTTTCCAGGTTTTTTTCTTCCAATCATACACCTCTCCCTGACCATATACCCTATATGCCAGCCTCATTGGTTTACTGCAGTTCCCTCAAACACACTGTCTCATTCTTTCCCCTTCTTCTTGCCTTCTCTGAATCTGTTACAAAGCATCATCTCTCTTTCGGTCTCTGACTAGAGAAATCTTGCTCACCTTTCAAAGCTCCTCTCAAATGCCACTTCTTCCCTAAAGCACTCCATGGCATTTGCCTCCTTTAGTGGGAGGAGGCAAATCTGTGTCCATGTCATCCTCTGTTGCACTTGGTTTATCCTTCTGTTGCGTAGCTTTCCTCCTGTGAGCTCCCTGCTGAGCCAGTCCTGGGATTGACTTTATCATTTTCCTCTCCCACAGCACAGCCTAGCACAGGATTTATGTGGAGTGAATTATACTGAATGGAATGGAGGAGATAAACCCAGCCCCAAGTGACTAATGTAAACCGACATGCCATAAGGTTCTATGACAGAGCTCTAAAGTGGAACAGAATTCAGGTTGGAGTGCGGATGAAATTTTTTCCAAACAGGGAAAACTTGGGAACGTTTCCATTTTTTTTCCATGTAAACCTTTCCTGACATCTCTGTGACATGCATCCCACCTGTAACTGTCCCCCTTTGTGATATTCACAACCCGGGCCTATAACTGGAAAATACTTGAGGTCAGAGATCTTTGTTATTTCCTTATACTTACTTCAGGGCTTGGCACATAGCAAGGGCTCAACAAATGTTTGTGGGAGAAGGGTAAAGAGGGTAGGAGGAAGAAAAGAGAGTTGTATTAATATAGAAATGGAGTAGGGCAAAAGCTGCAGAGAAATTGAATCAAGGCCAGTGCAGTGGCTCATGCCTGAAATCCCAGCACTTTGGGAGGCCAAGGTGGGTGGATCACCTGAGGTCAGGAGTTTGAGACCCGCCTGGCCAACATAGCAAAACCCCATCTCTACTAAAAGTACAAAAATTAGACAGGTGTGGTTGTGGGTGCCTATAATCCCAGCTACTTGGGAGGCTGAGGCAGGAGAATCAGTTGAACCCAGGAATTGGAGGTTGTGGTGAGCCGAGATTGTGCCACTGCACTCCAGCCTGGGCGACACAGCGAGACTCCAGCTCAGAAAAAAAAAAAAAAGAAATTGAATCGAAAAAGGTTTAGTCACATATTATGTGGGGACCCTGCCGTATAGTCTTGGTGGATTAGCTTGATATAGTGAAGGTGCTTACTAGCTACATACTGCTTTTTGTAGGTGCCAATTGACACTGAGTAGACAGGGGAAAAAAAAAAAAAAACCTGTATTCCCAGATTCATTTGTTTCTATCCTCCCCCACATCCTGGAGTTGGTGCTGTGATATATTCCCCAGTAGGAGATTACTGGGAGGCAGTTGGCAGCTGCATTCCATCCTTACCCTGTAACAGAGGGTCACCGTGATCGCTAAAAGTTTCACTAACACAAAGACCAGTCCAATGCCCACTTAAGTCAAGGTGGCTCTTAAAAACACAAAAACCAAAGGCTTCCAGATGAGGACAGAATTCCATTTTACCCTTCACTTCTACACAAATAGGCAAAATTAGAAGTGGAACACTCGTGTTTATCTGCCTCCAGGTCACAGCATCACAGCAGAGTAGAAGGAGCAGTGGCTTGGCATTGCTGAGAACCAAAAATAATGAGCAGTTTCGCCACTGACAAGGCACACAACTTGAGGCAGATGCCTTAATTACCAAGGCTCATTTTCCTCATCTATAAAATAGGAATAAATACCATATTCTTCACAGGGCTGCTGTGAGAATTAAATAACATGCACCATAAATCACTTAGTCCAGCACCGGGCATAGAGAAGGCCCTAAGTAAATGGTTGCTATTGATCATCATGATTTAAAAAAAAAAAAACTATTTGGGGTAATGTTCAAGGGCTTAGCATAGTAGACAGCTGTTATATGATATTTCAGAAAGCATGTTTGATGTTCCAGCTGTCTGGTGGAGCAGTCTTGGAGCACTGGGTTTTCCTTTCAACTCCTGTTTTTATTGTATCCTTTTCATGTGTCTGTATTTATATGCTATAGAAAGTATAGCACAGTTTTTTTTTTAAGCAATAATGAAATATCTTCTGGCCCTTGTTTATTTTCATCTTGTTTCCTGCTATTCCAGGCCCTGTGTACTAGGAAGAGATGATAAAGCACCTTCTTTACTATAATATTTTATTGGTGTGTATTTGCAATAGCATTTTGAAGAAACTAATTCCCAAGAGTCAGCCTTCAATGCTTTCTGTTAAAAAAAGTGCTAGGCTCATAAGATGATGTGACATCCAATATTTTCATTATTTATTGTAGTTTTAATTTAATTCTTTTCAGTTTGCATGTTACCTATTTTTGTATAGAAAATAAAAACATTTTCTCACATGTATCCAAAATGATAGTCGAAATTGATGGAGAGGGAAGAAGGGAATAAGAGAGAAGGAGTGACTGACTGATTCTTCATTACAATATTTCATATCAGGAAGGCAAAGAATGAGTAACTGAGGAGGATAAAGGAGGCAGGGGACAGGAAAGGCCTACACTAGGGTAGACCTTCATTAATTGTTCACTGAATAGATGAGTGAATTGTAACAGGGTGTTAGACTAGAAGTTTCCACAGAGAATTCAGACACAATAGCTATCAGATACCCAAAGTAATGGGACAGACCACCCAGAGGAACTCAAAACAGGATTTAGCAGAAAGTGGTTACGTGACTCTTGCACCGTCATCCTCACCAAGGGTCGAAGGATAGAATGACTGGAAGCTTTTGAAGAGGATTTCTTTGGAGGAAGCAGCTGGTGTGCTAAGTGCCGCTCATGGCCCCAGGGGATAAGGAAGGGGTGTGTGGGTGCCTATCTCACCTCACTTCAGCAGGACCACTCAGAGCTTGAGCTGTGTCTCCTGCAGTTGGGGGCCCAGGGGACTGGGTCTGACTCCCGCCCTGGAAATTTACAGGAAAAGAGCAGGGCTGGCTAATGCTTTGGCTGTGGAACAAGGAGGAGTAGCTGCTGCTTCGGGATTGGCCAACACTCCCAGAATTTGTTCAGGCAAAGAATGCTTCAGGGAGCAGATATGGGCCCCTATAGGGGAGAGCCAGTGTGGGAAGCACCTTAGATGCATTTACGTGGGAGTGAATAGGCCCCAGCAGATGAGACAGCTTCTGGATGGTGAGGGCTGCTGGGATTTCTAGGGCCTGGGAGAAACTTCCTGCCGAACAGGATGCTTTTGCTCAGGTTAAGGGGTCCTCAAGTGAGGGCTCACAATAGTACCACGTAAGAGGAAGTCAGTTTGACACAACTGCTCAAATCCTCAGCCAGCTGTTCTGCTGAGAATGCCTTCATACTCAGGTGTAAATCAGTTGCAGAGTTGGCTATATGCTTGCTTCTGGGGACATTTTTGCTTTAGCAGTAAAAGTGCCTGAGTTCAAAGAAGTAATACTTTCATAGTGGATTATGGGCATCTGAAGCAGGCAAATGCCATGGGAGATTTCCTTAGAAGGAGCTCCCCAGCTGTCTGGGAGCCATATTGGATATGCCCCTGAGCTCTGGGCACATGGGTGGTGGCTGCTTATTTTGCCTGAGACGGTGAATGTGAATGCATGTTATAAACTATTAGGTGCTGTGCAAATGTAAGCCAGCATTGTTATCGTTTTGCTTTAATAGCCGCAATGAATTACCAACAGATGTGTGAACTCTTAAAATGTTCGTTACACACACAGATGCTTCTCCCATCCTTATCAAATTATCTCATTAGAATTGGAATTTCTTGAGCATCCCAGAGGGTCAGAAGCAACCCTCACACATCAGAGAGACAAGGTTCTAAAAACCAAATGTTTAGTCCCTCACAGGGCATTTCTTCTTTTTCCCTGTCTACTGCCACCTGTCCAGAAGCGTTTCTGCTTTAGATCCTATCAGTCCCACCTTGCAACTGAGGCAGAAACTCCAGCCTGGCCTGAGCCTTTTTTGTGTTAGAAATGATAAGAAACAGCTGTCCTCGGATTAATGCCATCATCTCTGTTATGATTCAGCCATTCAGCTTGTGGCAGCAATTGCGTGTTAGATGAATGTCTTTCTAAATTCAATCACCCCAAAATAAATACATTGCAGTAGTCTCATTAAACAAAATTGGATGCAAGGAGAGAATGGGACTGACTGATAGGAAATGAGAAAAAAGTAGGATATTTCAAAGCTGCACGCAGCCAATTGCCCTTCAGAAACCTCTTCCAGGCCCTTGTTCAGCTTTAGCACATTTAGTTAGAAAAGAAAAAAAAAAACAAAGAGAGATGCTTATGTATGTGGTAATACTTTCTCCAAAGAGGGATCTTTTTAAAAATGACATATGATAAAATAATATATATTCATATGAAGGGATAATCATACAAAATAGGCAAATATGCAGATCTCATATATGACATTTAATATAGATTATCCTGCTGTTCAGTAGATCATTGGAATGTTTTAAAGTCTGACCACATGGTAGACACTGTGTTAGGTGCTGAGGGGATGCTACATTCATTGATGAATTCATTCGTGGAAGCTGTGTGTGCTGAGACCACTCTATGCTGTGTCCTGTTCTCATTGCTAGGGGTACCACCATGAACGAGACAGCCTCTGGTTGGGAAAGGTGCCTGGAATGGGATATGGAAGAGGATGGACAAAGATAACTGTATGTATTGAGAAGTTCAATGTGCCAAGTACCATAGGAAACAAACACAAAGAGACTCATGAGAGTGTAGAAGAAAAAGCAGTTGTTTATCTCTTAAGGAAACAGACAATCTTCAGGCAGGGGGCAGCCTTTTCGCTGAACCTTGAAGTCTGTGAAGAGTTTCAAAGTAAAGGCCCCTCTAGGCTAAGGAAACTGTGTGAACAAAAATGAAGATTATACATTTTGGCAAGGGGCTGGGGACTAGAGAGCACAGAAGACATAGGGGAGTCATAGATATGGCTGGACACACTGGTGAGAGCCCTGCATGCTGGGCCAAGGAGTTTGAACCCTATCCCTTATGCACTCGAGAGTCACTGCAGAAATGATATGATTAGAATTGTGCACCAAGAAGCTTAATCCTGTAGCAGGCTATAGATAGAATTGATTGAAGGTAGGAGGCTTTAGAGATGGGAGTCTACTAAGACCATCACAAAAGTTCAGGCCAGGGATAAACAAGGGCCCAAGGTAGGATTATGACAGATAAGCACTGGAGAAACAAACATTAATTATTAAAAGGAAAAAAAATCAATGAATTTATGACTGTGGACATTTTAGGCTCACTACGTTCCTCGGGGTATTAGATTTATTTTTGCAGATTAGGGTGATGTGGGAGAGGTGCATATGGTTCGGGGCCCCAGCGGGAAGACAGGATCTAGCTGAGGTGGTTCAAGAGACAGTAATGAAGGCACTACTTGCAGAGTTGTGGGCCAGGTCAAGGGAACCAAGAGTAGGAAGCTGTTAACATCCCTAAGGGGAAAGGCAAGGAAGGAATAGTACCAGTTTCTAGTGAGAGCTGGAGCCATAGAGCAAGGGCCACCCAGCAGGTGCTATAGTCTAGGAAGGACAAATAAGGGAGCAGGAAAAGAACTAGCCCTATGTCTCTTAGTTACTGTCCTTTATTCTCCTGCTAGTTCCTTTCACTGGTCAAACTCACCTGAAATGTGACTGCATAATGCAATTACAGAGGTGGGCCTCTCAGGGCACACAGCAGGAGACAGGAGACAATGGGCAGAAATACACATGAGGGAGAGGGGAACGGGAAGCAAATGGAGACTAACCAACATATAGTGCTACATTCTGCCATATTCTTGCTTTTATATTTCATGTCTTGGAGCTTCTTAAATCCTAAGGATTTCAAACAAAGGGGTTTCCCTCAAAACCTGATTCCAATTCACACTCTTGATAATAAAAGCTAGTAATAAAATCTAAATAATGAAGGGTGAGGGGACATAATTTAACTTTAGAATCTCAGTTTATCTGTAGAATGATGATATTAATTCCTGCTATGACAACTCTCTATGATTATTATGAAAAGAAAATGAGATACAGGAATAAAACTGTTTTTAAAATTAATTTTTGGTGTGAATCACTGAAAAGATGTGAGGGATTGTTATCATCATCTGGGATCATTCCATTTTTTGCTTTGGTACTTTCCACCCTACCAGCACAGTGCCTACCCAGAGGGCTGCTCAATCAATGGTTATGGCATTGAATTAACTTGAAATGAATTCTGAACACATACACCCTTTCTCTTATAATCCAGGCATGATGTCTTTCCATCGGTTTTCTTACTGTGAGATTTTTACCTCCCTCAACATACTATACCCTCTAACAATATGTCAGAAAAAATGAAGACCACTCAGGGTTAAAGTAGTTGAGAAATATTTAACTTCTTTCATCAAAGAAAAATGTCTTCAGATATTCTTGGAGTGAGACATCATTAGTAGCTTTGACTAAGTATCCCAAGTCTGAACATGGGATTTCTCATCTGAATGCACTAGTTTCCTTTCACAGCTTCCAACAGCTGCACACACTGTGATTTGGAGGGGGTAGCAGTTTGAAAGATGAAAAACCCTTCAAAGCTGTTTGAAATAGCTAAATCCCATGTGTGAAAAGACTCAGTTCTGGCACTGTAATTGCTTTTCTTGGTCTGATCCTCAGGGATAGGCCCTAAATGAGATATTAGGGTTGTTCCATCTCTAATACTGATGATTTTGCCTCAGAATTCAGGTCCTTGATTTTCTGAAGTGCATTAGAAGAAATGCAGGCAGAGAGCTCCCTGCCAGGAAGTCATCTGAGGAAAGCCTTCCGTATTGCTTACTTCCTCAAGCATAGGTGGACGCGCAGGAGTGTTTCCCGTTTGCTGGTCCCAGACATCAGCACAAATAAATGAAGCCAACCAAAGGACTCTGGGACCCTGGACAGTTCCTAAGTGCTTAGAGGGTCATCTGGTCATGGACCTGTCCCAGGGTCCTGTTGATATAATTGCTTTAAATTGCTTCCAAAGCCAAAGGACCTGGAAAAAATAGGTAAGGAGCTGAAGGAACTACAGGTGAAGAGCATGCAGAAGAGAGAACTGGGGTGGGCGTGGGGCAGGATGCAGTTTTCACCCTGCAGCTATTTCAGGGGGTGGAGTGGTGCATCTTCTCCAAAGAGGAGCCCTCCTCGTGTCCACAGTTTGCTCCTCCAGGCCCAGAACGCTCCTTCCAAGCTGGGTTGCTGTCTGCAGCGCCTCACAAGGAGAGGTTTGCAGATCAGCAGCAGCTATATTACCAGGAAGCTTGTTAAAAATGTAAATGAGGGCCGGGAGCGGCGGCTCACGCCTGTAGTCCCAGCACTTTGGGAGACCACGAGACTAACCTGGCCAACATGGTGAAACCCCGTATCTATTAAAAATACAAACATGGCTGGGCGCGGTGGCTCATGCCTGTAATCTCAGCACTTTAAGAGCCTGAGGCAGGCGAATCACCTGAGGTTAGGAGTTCAAGATCAGCCTGGCCAACATGGTGAAACCCCGTCTCTACTAAAAAATACAGAAATTAGCTAGGCATGGTGGCACATGCCTGTAATCCCAGCTACTTGGGAGGCTGAGGCAGGGAGAATTGCTTGAACCCCAGAGGCGGAGGCTGCAGTGAGTCGAGATCGCGCCACTGCACTCCAGCCTGTGCGACAGAGCGAGACTCCATCTGAAAAAAATAAAAATAAAAATACAAAAATTAGCTGGGCGTTGTGGCACGTGTCTGTAGTCCCAGCTACTTGGGAGGCTGAGGCATGAGAATTGCTTTAACCTGGGAAGCAGAGGTTGCAGTGAGCTGAGATTGTGCCACTGCACTCCAGCCTGGACGACAGAGACTTAGTCTCAAAAAAAAAAAAAAAAAAAAATTAAATGAAGGGCTGGGCACTTTGGGAGGCCAAGGCAGGCAGATCGCTTGAGCTCAGGAGTTTGAGACCAGCCTGGGCAACACAGCCAGACCTGGTATCTGAAAAAAAAAAAAAAAAAAAAGCTGGAGGTGGTGGCATTCATCTGTAGTCCTAGCTACTTGGGATGCTGAGGTGAGAGGATCACCTGAGCCCAGGTGATAGAGGTTGCATTGAGCTGTGATCGGGCCACTGCATTCCAGTCTGGGCAACAGAGAGAGCCCTGTCTCAGAGAGAGAGAGAGAGAAAAGTAAATTATGGGCTTTACCACATACCTACTGAATCATTATCTTTGGGGTGTGGGGCCATGAAATATCTTTTTTAGCAGGCCCCTAGGGGATTTGTGTGCACTTTGAAGTTCGAGCAGTACTGGTTTAGAGTACACCTGCTTTGCAAGTGATTGTAAGTGTGTCTTCATTCCCTTTAATGTAACAGAGCTCCACACATAATTGGACTTTTGTAGTCATTGCCAGTTACTCCACCTTCGAGGCGATCTTTGCTGACTCAGGTTTTCCTGCGTTTTCCCAGAGCTGTTTCTTTCAGCTCCCATGGTCCTGCAGAAGCATAGTCTTTTCATGCTCCACTCTTTCAGCTCCAGTTTAAAGTCCTCTGCCTTCCATCTTTTAGCCCCTTACCTCAATTTCCCAAGTTGCAGAATTTCCCTCATCTTCCTCCTTCTTTGTTCAAGAACCATGTTAAATCCCCAAGACACCTCTTTGCCTCCCCATAAGTTTCATGTTTACTTTTTAATCCTCTACCTTCTTCAATTTCTGAAATAATAGCTCTCCTGACAAAATTTTATTTCTTGCTCTTTATATCTCTGGCACCTTCCTGCATCACTGTGCAAGTGAGTCTTAAGAGTTAGAGTCCTCTCCTTTCATCTCCAGTCATTGTTGAGATTATTTTATTATTTTACTTTATTTATTTTTGAGACAGTGCTAAACCCTCACTCTGTCATCCAGGCTAGAGTGTAGTGGCACAATCAGCTCACTGTAACCTCCAACTACTGGGCTCAAGGGATCCTCCTGCCTCAGCCTGCTGAGTAGCTTGGCTACAGGCCCATGCCACACCATGCCCAGCTAATTTTTATTTTTTTTATAGAGACAAGGTCTCACTTTGTTGCCCGGGCTATACTTTTCATTTTAAACAGCTCAATTTTATTTTATTATGCCTTCCCCCAAGTGGGTTACACTTAATCCCTTTAGTTTTGGGATACTTGGTGGTGAAGGATTCTTACTTAGGTACTGTGATAAAGTTGCCAGACTTTGGTTGGGAAAATATATAGCCTATTCAGGCTACCAAGTAATGGGGAAAATGAGAGGTCCTTAATAATTATCAGCAGGGCCCACCCAGGTTTAAATTCAACTCAATTCAACAAACATTTATTGAGCTCCTAAACAATGCAAAGGACATGTATTAGGTGCTCAGGAATAGGACCGTGACTTATAACGGCACATTTAAAAGCAGAATAAGGCTCAGACAAAAAGGAAAACCCAGTACTGGCAGACCCCAGTTACTAGTGAGGCATGCTGTTTTGCACATAATAGACATTTAAGAAAATCTGTGTTAAATGATAACATTAATTTTCAGACTAACAAGGCTTTACTTGGGTATGTCTTTTCACCTAATTGCTGTGAATTTGGAATTCTGCAGAAGGCTTTCTGTAGGGCTTTATGTTGCAAGGCTGTGTGCACCAATACTTCCAGCCCTAGGTGTCTTTCTTCTGCTTCTGTGATAATGGATGAGGCAGTAGCAGGATGGAGTTTTACCGGAAAATGTGAAGGAAACACTTGGACTCAGGACAAAAGAGAACTTGTAAACATATTAGTCTTTGGGGAAATCTTACTGCAAATTGCTCTGAAGAATGTAGACAGAGAGAAAAAAGAAAAACAGAGAAAAAGAAAGGAGGAGGAGGAGGAAAGAGAAGTCAAGTTTTAAAAGCAAACAGAAATAATAGTTTTGATGGGATGGATTTGTTTTCTTAATAAGCCTAATGATCCCAGGAGTCTCATTGGATTATTAGCAACTGTATTTAAAATTTAAATCTAAAACAAGTTTTGTAGCTGCAAAGTGCTTATCAGAACCTAACCATGCCTCTCTGGCTGGCGGCTAAGGGAACCTGCCTACCTGAGGGATGGCCACTTGATGTAGCATAGTGAGGAGAAGGGACTTAGGCCTGACTTGACCAAAATCTTAGTGTGTGATCTTTCGCAAGCTCCTTCCTCCTTCCCTTCCTGGTGCTGCAGCGTCTTCCCTATAAAATGAATAATGGAGATCAGGTCAGTGATTCTAAGTGTGTGGTCCCTGAACCAGCAACATCACCATTATCTAGGAACTTGTTAGAAATTCTACTATATCAGGCCGGGCGCGGTGGCTCACGCCTGTAATCCCAGCACTGTGGGAGGCCAAGGCAGACGGATCACCTCAGGTCAGGAGTTCAAGACCAGCCTGGCCAATATGGTGAAACCCTGTCTCTACTAAAAATACAAAAATTAGCTAGACGTGGTGGCACATGCCTGTGGTCCCAGCTACTCAGGAGGCTGAGGCAGGAGAATCGCTTGAACTCGGGAGGCGGAGGTTGCAGTGAGCCGAGGTTGTGCCATTGCACTCCAGCCTGGGTGATAGAGCGAGACTCCATCTCCAAAAAAAAAAGAAATTCTACTACATCAGAAACTCTGGGGTAGGGCCCAGCAATCTGACTTTTAACAAACCCTGCTGATAATTCTGATGCACATTCGAGTTTGAGACCCACTGGATGAGTCAGTCTACATTTCTATAAATGAAGTAACTGAAGCTCACACAAAGCAGATGTAGGCAATTGAGGCAGATGTTGGTGCTGGAGGCCACTCATTCACAGCTGCATGGTCATGGAGTGGAGTGGGGGCTGCTCTATATGGAGTGGACTGAGTTGCAGCCCCCAACCTTCGCTTCCTCCAGTACTAGATGACCGATTGTAGGCACGCCAATTGCATGCTCAGGGCAGTAGCAATGCAGGGCCACCCGCCAACATCATTTTGTCTGGAAAACATTTGATACCTGATGCTTTCCTAAAAACATTAAAGTAATCCTCACAGGAAATATCAGAACTTTACTGGACCTCTTTATACTTAGTTTATAGTTCAGTGCTTTTTAAAAAAAATGTTGAAATTCTCTGGGCAGGAATGGGGACCTGGTGGGCCTGTATAACCTTTTCAGAGTTTAGAGTATTTAGAGTTCTCTAGCCTGCCCTGCCTTCCTCCTGGCTTCTCTTTGAGGCATGCATTAAGCAACTTACTGTCTTAGTTTTTTTGGGCTGCTATAACAAAACGCTGTAGACTGAGTGGCTTACCAACAATGGAAATATATTCCTGACAGCTTGGGAAGCTGGAAGTTCAATATCAGGGTGTCATCATGGTTGGGTTCTGGTGAGGACCTTTTTCTGGGTTGCGGACTGCTGACATCTTGCTGTATCCTCATGGAGTGGAAGGTGCTAACTCCAGTCTCCTCAGCCCCTTCATAAGGGCACTAAGCCTATTTGTGAGGGCTTCACCCTCATTACCTAATCATCTGTCAAAGGCCCCACCTTCTAAATCCCCATCACATTGGAGTTTAGATTTCAACATGTGAATTTTGGGGGGACACAATCATTCGGTCCATAGCACTTGCCATACCTTATTGACTCTCTAAGAAGCACACCTTTTTAACCTCTGAGATTGGAATATGTCTTACAATTGATAGTGCCTTAGGTCCAATGAAATGTTGGCACTGTTGATGTTCCCTAGAAGCTATTCTGTGTAAGGCTTTCTTTCTTTTTCTTTTTCTTTTCGTTTCTTTTTTGCTTATTTATTTATTTATTTATTTATGAGACAGGGTTTCGCTCTGTCACCCAAGTTGGAGTGCAGTGGCCTAATCTCAGTTCACTGCAACCTCCGCCTCCTGGTTCAAGCGATTCTCCTGCCTCAGCCTCCAGAGTAGCTGGGATTACAGGCTTGGGCCACCAGTCCTGGCTGTTTTTTTTATTTTTAGTAGAGACGGAGTTTCACCATGTTGATCAGGCTTGTCTTCAACTCCTGACCTCAAGTGATCCACCCACCTTGGTCTCCCAATGTGCTGAGGTGGTCAGATCGCTTGAGGCCAGACTTTCACCCATAGCTTTTTCAGAAGTCTAAAACTTTCTTATGACCCCTGTGTCTGGAATTAGGTTCACCATGGACAGTGTGCATCCCGGTTTAGGCATTCTGACAAACTCATCCAGAAGGTATTTAGTTGGTTCTTTGTGGAGCTCCCATGATTTTGGTGTCCCCTGTTATTCAGTGCAGGGATGAATAGCTTCCTTTAGATAACTTGACTTTTTCCTAGGCAATGATTAGTGTTCTGGACAGTGTCGTGCATAGAAAAGGCCTTAGACTCATACCGTGACCTCAAGGAGCACACATTCTAGTGACACAAATGTCAACAATTATAATGTAATGTGCTAAGTGCTGTCATAGAGGTAAATAGGAAGTCCTACAGAGGAAGGGAAAAATTAAGTCTGTCTGCACTTGTTGGGTGTCACTTCACAGAGGAGTTGATGTCGCCTGGGTCTTGAAGAAGAAGAGATCACTGAATGGAAAAGGAAGGGAAGAACAGCATGTTAAAAAGCACTTCGATGTTGAAAAAATGGTTAAAAGCAAGAAAATTAAAAACAAAATAACAAACTAAAAAATAATAAAAAAGCAAAAAAGCACTTAGAGTATCCCTACAATGGGTGAATGGCATGGTACATAAATACAGATCTGGAAACCAGCAGGATAGGCTGTGAAGCCATGGGATTTATTGTTATCAGTGAAACACTTGCCATCGCTTAGCATTAAAGGTAACTGATTTTCTTGGCAGCCTGGGCAAAAAGAAATGTGTGATGAGTTAGATAGCTTTTATTAACTGATTAAGGGAAGCATGGAGGTTTGTCGAAAGAGACAAATAATTTTCTTAGCAGTAAACTCTAAAGCGTTTCCAATGTGCATCTTGATATTGGAGTCACTGAACAATACAGTTTAGAATAATAAATTCACAAATTCCATATTTCTTTCTTCTTTTCTCTTTTCAGAGACAAGGCCTTGCTCTGTCACCCAGACTACAGTGCAGTGGCATGATCATAGCTCACTGCAGCCTCGACCTCCTGGGCTCAAGCAATCCTCCTGCCTTAGCCTCCTGAGCAGCTGGGACTGCAGGCGCATGCCACCACACCCAACTAATATTTAAATTATTTGCAGAAACAGGGTCTTGCTATGTTGCCCAGGCTGGTCTCAAATTCCTGGCCTCAAGTGATCCTCCCACCTTAACCTCTCAAAAGTATTGGGATTATAGACATGAGCCACTGTGCCTGGCCTCCATGTTTCTTTATACTAACTTGAGTAACAGTTAAGATAATAATTTTAATGATTTTTTTCCTGATAAGAGAAGTAATACATGTTCATTACAATACATATACTGGTCATAAAAAGAAGAAAAATTGCTGGTCCTGCCAGTATCTAATGTTTTTATATACATAGATGGGCTATACGGCATGTACAATAATGGGATTATTTAACACATCTATTTAAACCTACATTTTTTTACTCAAAAATATATTGGGAACATTTTTCCATGTCATTAGTTATGCTTCTACAATAAGGCATTTATTGTGCCACTTAATGGATATACCGTAATTTAACAGTATCCTATTGTTGAACCTGTATTCAATTTCCTAATATTCTGTTCAATATGTTGATGAACATTCTTGTTAACAAATCACTGGGCCTATTCGTGGTGTTTTCTGTATTAGAGCTCTTTAGGCTGTTAGTATCAGAAAACCAAGTCAAATTATTTTAAACAAAAATGGAATTTACTGTGGTATTACCTGAAAAATTCAGGAATACATTGGCTTCAAACATGGCTGGATTCAAGTGCTCAAGCAAGCCATCAAGTGCTATAGCTTTCTCTTTCTCTATCTCAGTTTTCCTCTCTTCTGCGTAGGCTTTATTCGCAGGCAGGCTCTCTCTCCACAAAGTGGTAAAGGTCATCACTGGCAGCTGCAAGCTTATGTAGTCTTCATAACTCACGATTCTAGAGAAAAAACCTTTTTGTGACAGCTCCTGCAAAAGTCTCGGGGAAACACTGATTGGCCCAGCCTGGGTCACATGCCATCCTTGAACCAATCATTACAGCCAGGGCTGCAGTACTCTAATTAGCCAAGACTGAGTCCTTAGTGCAACTTGTGAGTGGGGTCAGCTGCCCTCAAATCACATAGATAAACAAGATTAGTATTGAATAAGAAAGGGATGAGTTCTCAAAGGGAGGGATGCTAGACAGGTTAAAAAAATCCCCACAAATTTCCTGAAGATAAATTTCTGTATATATATAATATATAATTTTTTCTTTTATATATATAAAAATATATACATATATTTCTTTCTACATATATTATATATAAATATATACATATATTTCTTTCTACATATATTATATATATATATATTTTTCTTTTCTTTTTTTCTTAGATGGAGTTCTCGCTCTGTCCCCCAGGTAGGAGTGCAGTGGCATGATTATGATCTTGGCTCACTGCAACCTCTGCTCCCAGGTTCAAGCGATTCTCCTGCCTCAGCCTCCCAAGTAGCTGGGATTACAGGCACCTGCCACCACACCTGGCTAATTTTCATATTTTTAGTAGAGACAGTGGTTTCACCATGTTGGTCAGGCTGGTCTGGAACTCTTGATCTCAAGTGATTCGCCCTCCTCAGCCTTCCAAAGTGCTGGGATTGCAGGCATGAGCCACTGCTCCTGGCCTATTTTTAAAATGCTTCTAATGCATATAGTTAAATTTCTTTCTAGAAATGTGTAACAATTTTCACTTTCACTTGCAGTGTATGAGAAAGTTCTTTTTCTTAAGCCCTCATAACAACTGGGCAATACCATCCTATTTTTTAAATAGTTTTATTTGTATCAAAGTAATACTTCTATAAAAGAAACCAGTGAGAACCAGTGGTGTGCTGTAAACTAGGTCTCTGGGAAAGAAAAAAAGCAGCCTGGTGCAGTGGCTCACGCCTAGTATTCCCAGCAGTGTGGGAGGCCAAGGCAAGAGGATTGCTTGAGCCCAGGAGTTCAAGACCAGCCTGGGTAATATAGCAGGACCCTGTCTCTACAAACAAACAAAAAAATTAGCTGGGCATGGTAGCATGCACCTGTAGTCCCAGCTGCTTGGGAGGCTGAGGTGAAAGGATCATTTGAGCTTGGGAGGTTGAGGCTGCAGTGAGTTATAATCATATCACTCTACTCCAGCCTGAGTGACAGAGTGAGACCCTGTCTCTAAATAAAGAAATAAATAAAAGAAAAAGCCCTGATTTGGAGTTTATTTCTGTGGTATAAATGTTCCCACCATAATAGAGGTGTTTAACAACAGTGTTTAAAAAGGAATGGCAGTCTCCTGCCCCATCTCTCTCTAACACTTTGTTCTTCTCCCCGGAGGGAACCACACTTAATTATTCTCTTTTCTATTTTATTTGCCTCCACATTTCTAAATCATATGCTTATACTATTATATATTAATTTATCAATTTTAAACATTACCCATAGAAATAATAGAAACATATTTCCTGCTATGGTAGGATGAGCTCTTAGTTCTTATACTGTCTCCCCACTTCCCACCTTCATCAATCGCCAGATTTAACTGCTTTTGTTGTTGTTGTTGTTCAGTTGATAGCCAGTGTTTACTTATTATGACTTTGCAAATTTCCTTCACTGCTATGCCAAGAAGTACATATCTTATACAACCCTTAGCTTTTCTTTTACAATCCTTAGCTTTTCTTGGTGTAATTTCTCTAGCGTGTTTTTCTCATTTGTTTAATTTTCTCTGTATTTATTACTAGTTTTCCTGAAGTGTTCCAAAATATATGTGATGTACCTATCAACATTTGGATTTCTGCTTAAACACACCAGTGGTTCTTTTCTCCCATGCAAACTTCCTTCTCATAATCCTTGTCCTTCCTGTGCTAATCTGGAATGGTTGTTTTCCAGCCCTGCTGCAATGCACAGCTCTTGTCCTGCCGCTTCCCAGTTCCCTTCAATTCTCCTCTATTTTGCACTTCTGTTTTCTGAAACCCATATCTTTTTTCCTTCTTGGTTTACTCTCAATTTTTTACAGAAGCTCTTGCAGTTGTTTCCTAAGACAAGATACATGGAAGGTAAAATTTTGGAGATTTTTTTTCTTCTTCTTTTTTTTTTTTAAAAAGGGATCCATGTGCAGAACATGCAGGTGTGTTACATAGGTATACGTGTGCCATGGTGGTTTGCTGCACCTATTGACCCACCCTGTAAGTTCCCTCCCCTCACCCCCAATCCCCCAACAGGCCATGGTGTGTGTTGTTCCCCTCTCTGCGTCCATGTGTTCTTATTGTTCTGGAGATTTTTAAAGTATGAAAGTATCTTTATTATGTCCTCCACTTGACCAATTGTTTGGCTGGCTATGAAATTTTAGGTGGAAAACAATTCCCTCAGAATTTTGAAGACATTGATCCATTGTCTTTTGACTCATTCTTACTCTTCAGATACTATTGAAATTGCCATTATGACAGTGGAGAAATGAGAATTCATTTTAATTTGCATTTAAAATGAACTGCATTGTCCATGTATTGGCTGTCCTCTATGGGTAGCCTCTCTTTTAACCTTGCACCAACCTTGAAGAAAGCACTCAAAATTTCTTTATAAGTCCCCTCTGAACAGAGCCATTTTATATACCATTAATGTTCAATTGAATTTATTTGATATTTTCTAGCGGAAACAGAGGTGGAGATTAGTATTGCCCAGAAGTTGGCATTCAATTTAATTCCTCATTAGACATTCTGACTCCCCTTTTTTTGAACTGGTTTGATGTTTTTTTCTTTTTTTTTGTTTTCCTTGCAAAAACCCTCAGCTCACCCGAGGGCCAATGGAAATTTATTAATTTTTTTGTCCTTTTCCATCTTTCCCCAAGTGGCTTTTCCTTGCAAAATGCCTGACATGACACCAGAGGGGAACCTGGGAGCGGGGGGCACCCCAAGGGGCAGCCCAGGGACTTAAATACAAGCTGGAGGGCAGGGCACAGGTGGGACAGGCAAGAGACAGCACGAGGGACATGGCTTCTCAGGGAGACCAAAGACTTGCTTTCCTGCAGGAAGCAGCTGTACCAGAGGGCAGGGGACTAGGATCCTGGGTGCAGAGTGGGTGGGCAGAGAGGCCCCCAACCCTGGATGGAACCCACATTCCCCAGAGAAGTAGCGGCAGGGGATGAGGGCCTTCCCTGGTGGGCTCCAGAGACCGAGGGGAGAGTGAGCCAGGTGTGCTGCCTCGGGGAAAGGGAGGAGGTGTTAGCAGTGAGAGGGTTAAGGCTGGTGCCCAGCCTCTGGCACGGTGGGCCTTCCGCCTCCGCCTGACATGGGGACTAAGGGGCACGGTGGGCAGGCAGCGCGTGGGTCTGTCTCTGGCAGGGCAGAGGGCGGCAGGAGCAGACTTTCTCCAGGCTCAAGACACAGGCCCAGCGCCGCTACCCGCCCAGCCGCCCTCGATATACTCAGACCCCACCGCAGCTGGACGGCTGGAGCTGGGAGTGTGGGAGGGGAGAGGAGGCAGTGGGGAGAGGAAAGGGTGGGCTGCTGGGCCCCTGTGGCCTCCATGGCTGTCCTGAGGTCCAGCCCAGGGCCCTGGATCCCCTGGTCACACTCCTGGCCCTGGGCACTGACTGCAGCCAGGGCAGTAGAGGCCGGGGAGACCCTCAGCTCTTGGGCAGAAGGACAGCAGGAAGAAGGGGAAGGAGAGAAACCCAGTGCAGCACACATGGGGGTGGGAGGGAGACCGACAGAAGAGCCCTAGTTCCAAAGAAAGGTGTGTAGGGGGGGCATCTTGGAAAGTCACCTAGAGGCAGCAGCAGAGCAGGCCCCCGCCCTGCCTGGCCACAGGTCCTGAGTGTCCTCCCTTAGGGACCCTGACAGAATAGCGGCTCGGGGCAGCAGGCAGATGGGCCAGAGGGAGATGGGGAGCCCAGGACACCCCAAAGCCACAGACTCAAATGCCCCAGGAGAGGAAGAGGGAGGCACCTCCTGTCCCCTCCAGGGACATCATTTGGAGAAGGTGCCCCCTCCTGTCCCACTCCAGTGCCCCTCCTAGCAACAACCACCGCCAGCCGGCTTTACAGGGGTGCTGTCGATCTTGAGATTGGGCCGCTCGCCCCCGGAGGCTGCTCCGGGCCCCATCTGCTTTTTGATCTCAGCAGCCATGGTCATGAACGCCTGCTCGACATTGGTGGCATTCTTGGCACTCGTCTCCAAGAAGGGGATGCCCAAAGAGTCTGCAAACTCCTTGGCTGTGGTGTTGTCCACCACCTTCTTGGTGGTGAGGTCGCTCTTGTTGCCCACCAGGAGCTTATTGACGTTCTCGCTGGCATGGCGGTCAATCTCCTGCAGCCACTGCTTCACGTTGGCATAGGATTCCTGGTCAGTGACGTCATATACCACGAGGAAGCCATGAGCCCCCCGGTAGTAGCTGGAAGTGATGGTCCAGAACCGTTCCTGGCCCGCCGTGTCCCAGATCTGAAGTTTGATAGTTTTGCCATCCAGCTCGATGGTTTGGATCTTGAAGTCCACCCCGATGGTGCTGATGTAGCTCTCTGTGTAAGGGTCATCAGCAAACCGCAGGAGCAGGCATGACTTGCCCACGCCTGAGTCGCCAATCAAAAGCAGCTTAAACAGGCAGTCATATCCGGGGTTCATGGCGGCGGCGGAAGCCCGCTCAGTCGCTCCCAGTCGGCTCTGCTCCGCCTCCCGTTCCAAGATGGTGGCCGCCGATGTTTTTTCAATTTTAGAAATTAAAGTAAAATTGCATTTAATAAAATTCACCCTTTTTAGTATACAGTTCTGTGAGTTTTGATAAACATACACGGTTGTGCAACCACCACCACCACAGAGATACAGAATAGTTCCATCAGTCCCTAAAATTCCCCCTTGCTTCTTCCCCTAACCCCTACACTCTGGCAAGCAAGCACTAATCTGTTTTCTGTCCCTATTGTTTTGCCTTTGTTAAATAAATGGAATCATAGAGTATGTAGCTTTTGAGTCTGGCTTCTTTCACTTAGCATAAGCATAGACTAGAAAAGTTCCAGGGCCATCACTTAATCTCTCCAGGCCCAGGATTGCTCATCCGTAAGACAGGAGCTATATCATCTGTCCTTTCTGCCTTTCAGAATGATTGTGAGGGTAAAAGGACATGCTAGGTGGGAAGGTGCATTGAGAAGTGTAAAGTGTTACACAAGGACAAATGGTTGCGCGGATAGTGAGTGAAAAAAGTGTGCAAGAGAGAAAAGAGATCACTGAGTGTTAGCTTTTGAATAACCCACAACAACGGTGGGATTTTAATTCTGATTTCAAAGGAAAATGGTGTATGCTTTCTTTCTTTCTTTCTTTCTTTCTTTCTTTCTTTCTTTCTTTCTTTCTTTCTTTCTTTCTCTCTCTTTCTTCCTTTCTTTCTTTCCTTTCTTTCTTTCCTTCTTTTCTTTTCTTTTCTTTTCTTTCGAGACGGAGTCTTGCTCTGTCGCCCAGCCTGGAGTGCACTGGCGTTATCTCGGCTCGCTGCAACCTCTGCCTCCTAGGTTCAAGTGATTCTTCTGCCTCAGCCTCCCGAGTAGCTGGGATTACAGGCATGGGCCACCACGCCTGGATAATTTTTGTATTTTTAGTAGAGACAGGTTTCACCATGTTGGCCAGGCTGGTCTCGAACTCCTGACCTCAGGTGATCTGCCCGCTTCGGCCTTCCAAAGTGCTGGGAATACAGGTGTGAGCCACTGCGTCTGGCCTGGTTTATGGTTTTTAATGAAAGGACTTGCGTTATGGGTAGTCCATGTCTCTGTGGCCTGGAGAGCAGCCTGACAATGCCAGGGAGGTGGCTGCCCACCTGTCTGATTATAAAACTCTGCCCACAGATTTTCAGGAACTGATCCCATTTTAGTAAATCTTTGCTGTATTAAACAACTTTTGTTTATGTATCATCCCAGAGAGGGGGGTCTTATCTTGGGACCATGGTGCAGAAAGTCGAGGATGTCTCCTGCTTGCAACCTCATGGGAGATATTTTCTAAATCCTTTACTCTTCAAAGTTGATAAGAAAAGGAGGCCTTTTCAACTGGTGGGCTTACTAAAAATTCTGCAAGTTCCCCACTTAGTAAGATCTTGAGTGCTCCCAGGGAAGAGCCATTATAAACTGTTATAATGTGTTCTAGCACCCCTACTTTGGTAAAGCACCTGCTTCAAATGTTGGCTTTACTTCCTCCTCAAAGTCTATCCTGATCTTCACAGTTCCAGCTCTCTCCTCTCAAAGTGACTTCCTGCTATGAAATCCCTGAGAGCAGAGGTTCCCCAACTTTCTTGTTTCGTGGTGCCCACAGTAATTTTTCGTAGCACTCCCAGGTAAAAATAAATGTGTAACAGTTCCATAGGTTAAGTAGTTAGATCCAAACAACTTAATAAGCATTGAAGTCCTAATAATTTAGTAGTTGTTTGAAAAAAGTGCACATACATTTTAAATATTATATTTTTATTTAATTTTAAAATAACCACGGTAAGTTACTAATGGGATGTGTGTGCCTCTTGGATGCTGTACAACTTCTCAAACCTTGGATCAGGTTGGACACATTTCCTGTTCCATGTTGGGTTTTGCACAAAAAAAGTGCTTGCTTTTTATCACAGCGACTAACAAAAACTCAGCTTTGCAAGGGTATGATGTCATAGGAATGCAACATGATCTGAGAACTGCCTGGAGCTAGTAGTTTGCACATGTCCAGTAGATTCTGGGTGTCGCCATGTTTCCCTTGAAAAATTAAATATCCCATTGTAACCCTGTGAATTTGCTGTGGCTCTGCAGGACACCTCAACCCATAGTTTGGCCCTAGAAGTTTTCTGTACCTCTGATGATAAAAAGCACATTCTACTTTCTATCACAGTTATTTGAAGACATACATTATGTCTCCTAGTAGAGCTTTTTGAAGGTCAGGACCATGTCTGATTCATCTCTGTATCCTTCGTAACACCTCTCAGTAAAAGTAACTAGCATTTTATGAGCACTTACTAAGGCCAGGATGTCCATACATCCATGGGCTGGATGACTCCAGTGTCTATGCACTTCCCAGGACACTATTCCACCTCACTTAGCACAGTGCCTTACCCATAAGCTGGGAGCTTATGGGCTCAAGCCATCCTCCCGCCTCAGCCACCCAAGTAACTGGGACTGCAGGCATGCACCACCAGGCCTAGCTTGCTGTTGTATTTTTTGTAGAGACTGCGTTTTGCCATGTTACCCAGGCTGGTCCTGGACTCCTGAGCTCAAGTAAAAAATAAAATTTTACTTGAATGAGTGAACAGAATTGCATATACTTAATCTGGGCCACACCTTGCAAAACAATTCACAGAACTCAGTCAGGCCAAGTAGATGCCTCTATACAGCCAGCATGAGTTTGGGGAATAGCACTGGGACTAAGCATAGCTCTGTCACTCACTTACCTCTGGCCTCAAGCAAATGGTTTAACTGCTGTGTGTTCCTGTTTTCCTCAGCTGTGAAATTGGATACCGATACCTCACTCAGGAGTATTATGAAGGTCAAATGAGATATTGTCTGCATAAGGGCTCCAAAGGACATCAAGGTGGTGCGTGTTAAGGGATTATGGTTCAGTGTAGGTAACACAGATGCCATTAATGGCATACCCCTATTCTATGCCTGTTCCTGGTAGGGCTGAAGCAGGAGGGGGTGGCTGAACCGAGGACAGAGTTATGGGGGAAGAAGGGGTTAAATAAGTAGCTATTTCTGTTCCCCAAGTGACCATTCTCTGGGCACAGACTGAAATTCCCTCTGGAGCTGCACTAATGGACACATTAGTATCAGTTGACAAAGTACCATATGCTCTGAAATGTTCTCCCATTAAGCTTCATGGGAGGTGGCAGGAATTCATGGTCCATTGTAGGAAATCTGCCATGATTTTAGTCTTCAGTAAAGTATACTCCTAGGCTTCCTACGCTCTGGAAGGTCGGGCTAGGCCTCCAACTACATAATGATGCACCAGACATTACTTATTTTAAGACAGGAAGGCTGTGAAGTAAGGTTATCTTTGTCTGTCAATAGTAGACTCATAAAATCATCCTTTATTTTTGAAAAAAAATTATGTTTTAACAATGAATTATTTTGTGAGTATTTGCTCTTTGGTTTCAGGTTAATCAGCATGTGTACTGGTCATTAATCAGGATCCAGATTATGAAAATAACACATAATGTCTTCAGTGGCATCAATAAGTACATGGTTTTTCATAAGTCACCATGTTATTTATTTATTTATTTAGAGACAGGGTCTCGCTCTATTACCCAGGTTGGAGTGCAATGGAGCGCAGTAAAATCTGGGCTCACTGCAGCCTTGACCTCCTGGGCTCAAGCCATCCTCCCGCCTCAGCTACCTGAGTAACTGGGACTGCAGGCATGCACCACCAGGCCTAGCTTGCTTTTGTATTTTTTGTAGAGACTGCATTTTGCCATGTTACCCAGGCTGGTCCTGGACTCCTGAGCTCAAGTGATCTGCCCACCGCAGCCTCCCAAAGTGCTGGGATTACAGACCATGTTATTTTTATGGAAACTTCCTTTGCAAGAAGTATCATCTTTCTTAATACCAGTCAATTTGCCTAAAAAAGAATGAAGGGAAAAAAGGAAGAAAGAAAGACCCAAACTCCACCAGTTTCAAAAGACAAGGCAGACTTAAAAGTGTCAAGATCTGGGAGTTTCAAAATGTATAACAATAGCTGCCATTTATTGAATGCCTGCAACACCCCAGAGCCTGTGCTAGGTGCTTTATCCTTACTAGTTAATTTAATTCTCACAACACCCTTCAAGGTCAGTATTATCTGTGTGTTAAGATGAGAAAACTGAGAGGTTACATTAGTTGTCCAAGGTCATAAAGCTAACAAGAGCTGGCATTCAAGCTACCTCTGGCTCCACGGCCCAGATCCTTTCCAGAACATCCCCCTCTGATTCAAAGAACAGGCTGACACAGTGTTGCAGTACACAGTACATAGTAACAAAACATGAATAAAGCCTTGTTTTTAAGAAAATCTAGATCATCCCTCCCTCTCCCTATCCTACACCGAAGATAGGAGAGGAACCTTCCAAGACTTTCCCCTGCGTCTGGGGACTGTCCATGCACTGTTTCCAGAATTTAGGGAATGTGTTAGCTGGAGGGGGTCCAGGCTAGTCTAGTGCCTCCCCAACATCCCCCAGTTACTTTCATTTAGATTTACTCTGCTTATGCCTGTACTCTACAAGGGGCTTCTGTTTAGTAGGATTTGAGTTGAATATAGAATCCTACCAAAGTTGGAAAAACACTGATATAGTCCAATTCTATGTTTTGTAGGTGAAGATCTCTCAGACCCAGAGCAGGCTTGACCAAAATAACCTAGAAAGGTAGGACAGGCCCTTTGCTCTTTAAAATTTAAATTTCTGGATCACTACAGCAAAACTATTGGAGTGAGAAAGACAATCACCATGGGAAATATGCTCCAAAAGCTGTTTTCACCTGTTGACAGAACAGAGGAGGGTAGCAGAACCCTCCCAGATTTAAATTCTGACTCAATCACCAACACCAGCTATCTGGATGATCTTGAGCAGGTTACTTAACCATGTAGAGTCTCTTTGTCTGCAAAAAAGACACATGATACTTGCTTGTTGGAGTTTTTGTGTTAGTATATTAAAAATACATAGCATCTAATAGGTGTTCCTTTCCATCCTTAGAGCCTTCCCATAGGCTGTTCTCTCTGCCTGGAAGCTCTATCATCCCTCTCCCCTTCAATAGCTGACTTGGACTTATTATTTAGTTTCTTTCACTAGATTTCTTGGATTTGAATCCAAGCTCTTACTAGTTGAGTGACCAGGGGAACATTTGGCCTTGGTTTTCTCATTTATAAAGTGGGGATATTAATATATAATTCATAGGGTTATTAAAATGAGATAAACCGCTTAGAACAGTGCCTAACAAATATTAGGTCTCAATAAAATTTGGCAAGGACGATTTGTGGGATCCATAATTCCAGAGGGCTCTGTTTCCTCCTTCGGTAAGCTATTCACATTGCCTGGAAGCTCATGACATTTACTCTTTATTCTAGGAGTTCAGAAATTTCACCAGGATATATTTTTAAATATCCATTCTGCCAATCTTTGTCTTTTAATTGGTGTATTTAGATTATTTACATTTAATATAATTACTAAAATGTTAGCACTTAACTCTGCTATGTTGTTATTTCTTTTCTTTCTGCACAGGGGAAAGTCTTGGAAGCTTTCTCTCCCATCTGTTTGTTCCCCATTTCTCACTCCTCTTTTTTCTTTTTCCTGCCTCCCTGTGGAGTACTTGGGCTTTTTAAAGAATTCTACTTTGATTTATCTAAAGTATTTTTGAGTGTATCTCTCTGTATAGTTTTTAAAGTTGTTGCTCAAGTATTAAATCATACATAAATAACTTATTACAGTCTACTGCTCCTGACATTTTACCCTTTTCAGTGAAATGCCCAGGACTGGAAGTTCTAGGTGTGTGTTTTAAAATTAATACAGTGTAGAAATTAGAGTCTTTTTTACCTGATAACTCAAGTCCATACATTTAATGTATAGGTAATTCAAGTGCATACATTTTATCTGATAATTCAAGACTATGGGCTTAGTCTTTTTTTCTATTATATTTTGGTTATTGCTTTGCTCCTTTGTTATTTTTTTCCTCCATTTGGTACTATTATTTGCATATCTTCTAGATATTTCATCAATGTTTTAAAACCCTCTGACTCATAATTTCTATTTCTTTTTAATTTTGGTTTGGTACTGTGGGGTAGTTCTCCTTTTTCATCTTTCAGATCATTAAATCAGTTTTCAGTGGTGTTCATTACATTTTTCATTTCCACAATTGCAAATTTAAAAAATTGTGTATTTAACTTTCAAAAACAATTTTTCCTCATTTTGATCATTTCTTTCTAGTCTCTGCTTGAATCTCCTTACATTTTTGATTTTAAAAAGTTAGTTTTTCTTCTATTAAATTGATCTCAATGTGATTCCTCTCTTTTAGTTATTTGTCTTGGTTGTGCTCCTTCAAGCTATTGACTCCCTTTAAATAATCTCTGATCTGCTTTGGCTACTTATATCCACAAGTGGGTAAGTTGGGCTTTTGTGGCCTCTTGGGTACAATAGTTCAGCGATCATGAAAGGAAAGAATGATGCTTCTCCAGTGGCCTGGTGGTGAACAAAGCTACCTGGCTGGGTCCACCAGGCTGAGGTGAGGTGGAAGAAGCTTTTAGGATCTTTGGACACTCCCAGAATTAATAGGGTGGGGTTGCGCTGCTGTGTGCCATTGTGTAGTTTGCTTATTGCAAGGGCATCTGGTGGAGAGGATTAATAGGAGCCAACATCCACTTGCTGAGCTGTGTACCCTAGTGTGGAGCTACATTGGCCCAAAGGAAGGAAGCATATTTTCTCATTTTCACAAAGGTATCTGAGAGGGGAAGCTTTTTTCTAACCCACATAAAGATGCTGTGTGGGCTAGGTGTGACCCTGAAGGGATAGTTTGGTCCACCTGTGACATTCGGTTCTACAGAGGCAGGTCTTGACAGAGTCAGGGGTCTTCCCACAGAGCTATTTGCAGGAAGTGGGCAGGGACAGTTCTTCCTCTCCTGTTGAGAGGTCCTGCTTAGTTGGGGTAGCTGGGCCCCTCAGGTAGCCCAGGATTGAAAGCCTTCACTGCAGACTCACTAGCGAGGCTGACTAGTTCTCAGGCTCCTGGGCCTTTGTCCTTCTTGCAATGGTGGACGGTGTGGCAGCAACACCGCCCTTTGCCAATCCTGCACTGCGATTGTCTGTGTGGGATTGGGCTCCAGCTATAGGCAACAGTGTCCTATGCCCCATTCACTGTATGGCTCACAATTTGGGTCCCCTCAGCAGGGAGCTGGGTAAGAGAAGGGCTTGGAAGGTGGCCCCCCATCTTCAGAGAAGCCCCCTGGGTAGGCACGCTAAGGTGATTTAGGAAGTTTCTCTATAACACAGTTCTAATACAGCCATCTTTCCTCCCCAACAATAGAGCTCAGTTTCCCAAATAAACCTGAATCTGAATCCCATTTACCAGCTCTGTGACCTCATACCAGTCGCTTGAATTCTCTGAGCTTGCCTCAGTTTCATCTGTGAAGTGGGGATTGTCATGTGTGTCCTGCCTAACTCAAGCAGCTGTTGAGAGAATAAGATGAGATGATTGCTCTGTTTGGTGTTTTACAAACTGAAAAGTCTATGCAAAAGTAAAGAGATGAAGAAAATAGTGCTAGAGAGGGTGGCATCTGCCCCCGGGGGCTGTGGGGAGCACGGTGGTAGTGGGGAGTTGCAGTCACCCAGCAGATGCAAAGCAGAATGAAGCCTATGGGAAGTGGCCAGATGTAGTTGTCAAGACCAGGGTAGGGCCACACTTGATGCTGGCCACAACCTCAAGACATGCCTTCTTCTGGGGAGCTGATCTCCCAGGAGCTGAGCCAGCAGAAAAAAAAAAAAAAGAGAGAGAGAGAATTTTACAAAAGAGATAAAAAGGCAGGAGTAATAGATGCTGAACCCAGTCCTATCTTTTCAAAGCTGCCTCTCAAAACACTGAAAGATTTATCACTTAAGGAATGAGATAAAAATTCATCTGACAAGAGACATAAAGAGCTTGAATATTTTTTAAAACTTGTGATAATCATTCCCAATTCTATACAAATATCTTATTGCCTTCCTCTGTTTCTAACTGAGTCATTATGTCCATTACATTAGCAATAGATTCGAATACCAGTTTTATCAAGGAGCAGAGAATGCGATTAGGAACAGGAAAAGAAATATAAGCAGACAAGGCTTAGATGAGAGCTAAGGAATAAATCCAGATATCAGACATGTTTTCCATCCTCCTGCCCTACCACTAAAAAAAAAGGTAAAAATAGATCATCTTTGAGAGAACGACTATGATAAACAGTCAAGCAAGGTCTGGAGGGTGTTGGGAGACTGATCTCTCTTCACCAGTACACAGATAATGAACTTTCTAGCTCAACTCCCTATTCTTAGTATTATACAGTGAATTGGACAATTCATTTTTAAGAAGTGAGCAGTGAATGTCTGCTTCTGTGTCCTAGAATCTTGGGAGTAAGAACATATTGTTTTTCTGTCAAATTTTCTCTCTGTAAAGCAACAATCTAATTGTCCCTAAGAGGTAATATAATCCTCATGATAATCACCCAATTTCTTTTGCCAACAGCAGTACTTCTCTTTGTGACTATAACACTTTAGCTTCCTTAATCTCAAAGAATCATTTGGTTTAGGGCTCAGGGAACATTGGTTGTCATCAGGTATCATTGCCTCTTCTTATAGAGGAGTAAAGTGTAGCTCAGAGAGGTGAGGCGATTTTCCCATAGCCACATAGCAAGAGAGGGACAGAATTAGGGTCTAGAACGCTAGGGCACTGCTTTTCTACAAGTAGCTCAGCAGAAGTGCTGGCATAGATATCAGAGAGGGCTATTTTTAATAACCCTCTCGCAGTACTCCAGTAGTCCCTGAGTCTTGGCTCACTGAAGCCTTGATGTAACTGTCTCATTATATTTCTGCATAAGACCTTGAATATTAAGAACATACAGTTTATGTGGTGTAATAACACTCTCTTAACCAAACCGTTTCATCCCCTATCCAATGTGGATTCACTTCAGAAGGCTTAAGTCTGTAGTAGGCACTCAACAATGTTGACTGAATGAATGAATAACCACTTAGAGGCCCATTAAGGAATCATGTCGTTTTAGATCTGAAAGAGACCTGGAAGGTCATTCTGGTCCCATTCCTCCATTCTGCTGAGACTTGAAGAGTGAGGGGACTTGGTGGCAGAGCACTCCTAGAGCTCCTTTCCCCTCTGCTTTCCATACAGTGTTCTTTCTTTCACCCATACTACTTCTCATTAATTTGATCTGCAGGCATTAAAATTGCCAATTTACTTGTGTTCAGGTAAACAAAATAAATATTTCTAACATCGAAAACACTTAAAAACATTTAAAAACACTACTCCATAGAAAATGACAGGGTCGAGGTTTTTTTAACCATAAGGAATTTGATCATTCTGAAGAAGAACAGAAACTTGTCCTAAATCACTGCAGACAGTAAAGCTGAAATTTGAAGCAGTAAATGATTCTATTTTGGGAACAATAGATATGAGGTCAGGAAGAGTTAGGCATTCTAAGAAGGAAATTGTATAGAAAAGCACTATTAAGTCAGCTCTCAGAAGTATTTGAGTGCAAAGGAGATTGATACAGGTAAGGGGAAGGTATGGGCACTTAGCAGATGACAAATGGCATACTCATTGCCATAGAGAAAGCAAACTTTTAGCTGAAATGGTACTTATGGGAAATAAATTTGAATCTCAGATGTTTGAGTCAGGAAGTCTCATTAGGATGCAACACAGCTTGTCCTTATGGGCTATTACATGGTGTCACTAAAAAAAGGAGAGACTCAGAGAGGGACAAGGCACAACCACATAGCAATATGAGAAATTTCATTCTTGCTATATCTTGTTCTATATTAATATTAGATCATTTGATGCTATCCTCTCACCAAAAATGACTCTTCAGAGTGACAAAAACAGAGATTGAAAGTAATCTAGGCCAGGCACGGTGGCTCATACCTGTAATCCCAGCACTTTGGGAGGTCGAGACGGGCGGATCACAAGGTCAGGAGATCAAGACCATCCTGGCTAACACAGTGAAACCCCGTCTCTACTAAAAATACAAAAAAAAATTAACCGGGCGGGGTGGCGGGCACCTGTAGTCCCAGCTACTCCGGAGGCTCAGGCAGGAGAATGGCGTGAACCCAGGAGGAGGAGCTTGCAGTGAGCCGAGATCGCGCCACTGCACTCCAGCCTGGGCGAAGAGCGAGACTCCGTTTCAAAAAAAAAAAAAAAAAAGTAATCTATATCCAAATGACAGCTGTTAGGGTAAAACTTGAGAAACATATATACTTTATTTGTTGATTTATTCATTCATTCAATAAATATTTATGGGATTATAGGAAGGCAAAAATAAATAAGACATTGTATTTCTCAAGAAGGTCTCAAGAAGACAGACGTGTAAACAAATCATTGTAATGGGTGTGCTGCGTGCTTTATTTGCTGTATGCTGTACATAAGTACAGCAGAGGCTCAAAGCAAGGACTGGGAAGAGTTCATGGAGGACAAGATATTTTTGACCAGGATTTAAAGGAAGAAGAAGTTTGTCCAATAGGTTGGGTTAAAGGTTAGAAAAACAAGGAAGCAATAATAGCTTATGTAAAGTATTTAGCAGTATAGGATTTAGAATTTCATATGAATCCCAGTGCAGCTATTTTAAAGCTGTGGAATCTTGGGTAAGCGACTTTACTTCTTGGAGCCTCAGTTTCCTTCTCTCTGTAAAATAAGTAGGGTAATCCTCACCGCATATAATGATTAGAAGCATTCCTAATAGTGCTGGCTAGCAAGTAATGAATGCTGTTTCGTCTCCAGGAACTCTTATTTTTTAGAACACTCCTAGGTGGTAGGTATTCTTATTATGCTCCCTTTGCAAAGGAAAAAAACCAAGAACTGAGAGGTTATGGAACTTTTCCAAAATTACATAGGTTAAAAAGCAGCATTGGGATTTGAACCTAGGCAGTTTGGCTCAAGACTACATTTTTTTTTAACACTATGTTATGTGTCTCTTATTACATAAGGTACCCTAAGAACATAAGGTGTTTGGTGTGCAGGTGTGGGGTGAGGTAGAGATGGCGCCACACGGGTAATAGGATCACTGTGGATTCACGTGATGCTAAGGAGTTAAGACTTTGCTGCACGATCAAGAAGGAACAATGGAGGTGTCTTCAGCAGGAGAGTCACTGGTCAGGTCTGTGGTTGAAAAAGATCACTGGCAGTATGTGAAGGATGAAAATAGGAAAGACTGGAGGCGGTTACTACAGCCTTGGCAAGAAATGGTGAGGCTCCAACGAAAGCAAGGGCGGCAGGATGAGGGGGAGGAGACATGTGTAAGAGAAGTTAAGGAGACAGAGTTGATTGGACTTAGTGTCCAGTAGAGTATGAAGGCCAGGAAGAAGGAAGAGTCTAGACTGTCCCTTTGGTTTCTAGTTTAGGTGCCCAGAGGAAGGAAGTGCCACTACCAGTTGAGATAGGGAAGCAATGCAAAAGGGGTAATTTGGGGGTAAGATGTGGGTTTGGTTTTGGCTGTGTTGAGAGTGGGGCACCTGAGGGACATTTAGGCGATGTCCAGCAGGCAGTTGTGTCTCTGGGTTTGGAAGACAGAAGGTTTGGCTGAAACCATGCAGCTGATAGAATTGCCTGGTGAGAGTGAAGGGAGAAAGGCCAAGGAGGGACATGAGGGCAATGGTAAAGGAGGCTGAGGGGCAAGAGGGACCAGAATGAGAATCTGAGGAGAGCGGGGTTAGGGGCTGGGTCCGGCACCTAGAGAGGCTGACACTGACGCAGGTAGCTAGGAAATGGAGGGGGACAGGGCAAAATTCCATGGGGAACATTTGTACTCACCGGACAAGAGAATAGTTCTTATCTTACTTTCTGACAAGTGCTATGCTTTTTGGTGTTTAACTGCCTTGGAGAGAGTAATTTGATGATTAATCTTTATCTACAAAATAATTTTTAAAATTAAACTTTATTTTGAGAAAATTGTAGATTCACATGCAATTGTTAAGAAATAATTCAGAGAGCCAGAATACTTGATTTTTAAAAAGCTTTCATTATTTCCACTATGGCTTCAGAATCTTCCACCCTTATGGTGCTTCTGTCTCCTGGGGCAGAACTTTGTATACTACAAAGACGGGTGAGGAAAGCAAAAGGCTCACTCAGCCCGTGGATCTGGGTGGCAGAGGGCTGGGGCACTGACAGAAAAGGGAGCTTTGGGTGCAATTACGTAGGAGGTCTTTCAGCGATGGAGCCACTCAGGAGTTTCTGGATGGACTCCTGGATTTGGAAATGAAGGTCACAAAGGAGGAGCACCTGCCTTCATCCAGACGATGTTGGCTCCAAAGTGCTGCTAGTCTTCCCCCACCGCCCTTGGATGAAGGATGCACTTGTTAACATCTGCCTGTGCACCATCCCCAGAATGATCTAACATCCCAGTCTGATGGTGCCTCAACCCTACTCAGAACTCCTCCCATGAACCTGCCAGTGCACTGGGAACACGGTGCAAACTCCTTGACCAGGAATTGGCCCCTGCTGACTCCCCTGCTTTATGTCTCAACTCCTGCCACTCCCTCTGTGGGATCTCTCTCATCTTGGGGTCTTTGTTCCTGTGGTCTCAACCTGAAAGGCTCTCTCCACACTCCTCCCTTTCACTGGCCAATTCCACTGGCCTTTCAGGTTTCCATTTAGAGCATGCCCTCTCCAGGAGGCCTTCACTCAGTCAGTGCAGGCCTGAGTGGTGCCCTTGGCCCCGTGGGATTGGGTTATTGTTACAGGAACTGGACTGTATTTTAATAGTCCTAGACTGTACATTCCATGAGGACAGGGACTGCTTTATTAAAGGTGTATTGTATCTCCAGTGTCTAATGCAGGATATGGACCTCGTAGGTGTTCAGTAGAGTTCAGCACGGAAAATAGTGCACAGACACATGCATTTGGGTATCATGCTCAGAGAGGCGGTAGGACCAGAACCAGGGGAGTGGGTGAGACGGCTCAGGGGGTCAGAAAAGGGCTGAGTGCAGAGTCCCAGGGCGCTCCGGCATTTTAGAGCTTCTGGTTTGAGGAACCCTCAAGGAGACCGAGGGAGTGGCTGGAGAGGGCCGAGGAAAGCTAGGAGAACACAGTTTCCCAGCGCGGAAGGAGTTTACAGAGACAGGGGAGGTGGTCCACAGTGCCTACCGTGGGCCCACGCTCTCCCTCTCCCTTCAGCCGAACACCTGCGGGGCGTGGGGGTCAGGGGGCGAGTCCCCCAGGGCTCCCCGTAGCTGGGGCTCTTCCTGGGGAAAAGGAGGCGTGAGAAGGGGGTCGTTTTGGGAACTCTTCTGGGTTCCAGTTCTGGCCCAACCACCGCTGGTCCGGGTGACCTTGGGGAGTCCCTTTCCTCTCCCAGCCTCAGTCTCCCCCCTGGGTACTCAGCGGACGCTGCGTGCCCCGGCGGTGAGCTGAGGCAGGCGGCGGAGGCAGGGCCCGGGTGGGAGCGGGACCGCCCACTGCGGCGGGCCGGGACCTCGGAGCCAGCGGAGGCGGCGCGCGGGGCTCCTCCCCCGGGGCGGGGGTCGCGGCGCCGGCAGCTGGCGGCCGCGCAGCTGCAGCCTCAGCACCTGCCGCCGCCAGACGGCGCGGGCGCGGCCCGGCCCGGCCAACCCCTCCGGCTGCAGCCTCGGCGCGGGAGGCGGAGCCCGAGCCGAGCCCGAGCAGCGCTGCTTCCCGAGCCTTGGCCGCGACCGTGCCCGCCGCTGGGCGGGGCCGCCCTTCTCCGAGAGCGTCAGCCCGCTAGGTCCTTGTCCGCGCGGGCGGCACCTCCTCTGCAGGTAAGGGAGGGGTCCTGGCACCGCAAAGTTTTGGGGAGACGGCCTGTCCCCACACCCCGGGCCTGCGCCTCGGCTTCCTCCGCGCCGCCCTCCGCCTGCACCACCAGTCCCGGGTGACCCGCGCCCGCCTCCGGTCCTCGTGTCCCCAAGCCCGGCTCGGGGGCGCGTCCGTGGGCTAGCTCAGGACCTGCCATCGTGAACTGTTTGCACAGTAGCGATGTGTGCTTAAGTTTCCGAGATCTGCATGGTGTAGTGAGTGGAAACAGCGGCAACGCGGGAGGGGGAGAGACCTGGGTTCAGGTGCGGCCGCGGCCAGCGCCAACTTTCTGAGTGACCTCAGACCAACCCTCTCTGTCCGTCCTCGATGGCCACACCTGAACCAGAAGGGGTTCGCCAGGGACGATCAGCTGCAGTGCCAATGCCTGTGTTGTCATTTTTTGAGTAGAGGGGCATCCCTGAGTGTCTCAGCTCCAGAACTCATTGCGTGTGGAGAGGAATGAGCCACAGAAGTCAGTCTCCAGGGTCGCGTCGCTAACTTGCAGCAGCTTTGACTGAGCTTTAGTGGGGGCGTTGAGTCAGCCTCGGGAAGCAGGGGATGCCCCTAGGGTTAGGAGTCAGGACTCTGGCTTCTGGTGGCTCCTCTGCCATACACCCACTGTCTGTGTGACCTTGGGCAAGTGCCCCCTGCTTTTGCCACCTATAAAATAGGGTGGAAGTCGTGTTCACTAGTTGTTCGCTGTCTCTTTCAGCTGTAAACTCTGGAGAAGCGGAACCTCCGGATCTCTGCATTTAGTCAGTTTGGGTGGAGGCAATATTTCACCAAGAATCCATCTAGCACTTGCAAATGAACGTTTAGAAAATAAAGGAGGCATTTGCAGTTTGCTTTGGAAGTCCCAAAATAGACATGGGGAGGATTGGTGAACGCTCAGTTCGCCTTCTTCAGTGCTTTGGACCGTCATGAAATATTCAACGACATAATGATTTGTTTTCAAAGTGGCTTATAGATCAGGAAGCGTTTCTGTTTGTGAGTCGGTTATTTTTGTAAAAACCTCAGAATGGTTGTTTGGGAAAAAAAAATAATGCACTGTTCTAGGGGTCCTGACCTAGAGGCCAGCATCTACTTGTTTCTAGTCTAAGATGATGGTTGAGATGATTTCCAATCAAGACAATTTCGGGCATCCTTTGGTCGGTGTTGAGTATGGGTACGGTTAAGGAGCCAAGTTCATCTTTTCCAGGACTGGTGCATTCTGGCACAGTCACAGCAAAACAAGCACGAGGTAGTTAACTGTGATATGCTAGAAAGTGAAATTTATTCTTTTGCCCAATATCTTGTTCCCCTTGTGCTGCAATTAGTGGCTCCCCAGTGTGTGGGTGAAACGCATTACCACGAAAGGATTCTCACAGAAGTGATTTTATGATTTTATTTCCTTCCTCGACATCCTGGTTTTAAGTTTCTAGCATTATGAAATCAGAGAGCTGGTGAGGGTGTGCTTGGTGACCAGAGCAGAGTTGTGGTACCTAAGTTTGTCTTTCCTGAATGAGACCCCATCCTTGAAGCTAATTTGTCCAGAGCCTTTTATCTCTCTGACGCATTCAAATGCCACCAGTCTTTTCCCTCTTCATTCTCTATTGGTTCATCAAGCACTTTCTCACTACTCATTCGAGAGGACACAAACATGAAAATTACCAACAGGCCCTACCCTCAAGGAGCTTAGGTTCTGTTGGGGAATAGAGAGGCTTGTGCCACAGGATCTTCATTGTGGGCTTTATCGCCTGGGATTCCTGTGAACACTAAGGAGGGTGAATTCCAAGTGGAGATATTGGAGAAGGCTTTACAATGGAAGGTGGAGGAAGAAGAGGATTTCAACAGGTGGTGAGGAATAGAAAGGCTATGTGTAGGTCAAGGAGCTGGTACGAGCAAGGAACTGGTGAGAGCTGGGAGAGCATGAGACAGATGAGAGCAGTGAGCCTGGTGGAAGCACAGAGAAGGCAGAGCACTTCAGAGACAGGGCAGCGGGAAGAGGCTCTGGAGGCTCTGAACCTGGGCTGGAATCCTCGCTGGCTGTGGAGTATTGGGCCTCCGAGCGTCACTTTTTTAATTCGTAAAACGGGAATAATAATAATTCCAAACTCACAAGATTAAATGAGATCATGTATAACAGTGTCTAATAGGATGTTTGCATGTAATAGGTGTTGGATAAAAGTCAATTCTTTTTATCAGAGGGTTCATGGGCAAGCTGAATAAGTGTTTGAAGGCACCATTGGAGTAAATAGTGCTTTTGGTTTAAGCATGTGCATTGATTTAGAACCTCACCAGCAGCAGAGAGTTCTTGTGACAATGTGATGTGTCCTCGAGGTGCCTCCTGATTCAAGGGGCAGGGGCTTTTTGTTATTTGGAAGGTGTTCAGATCAGATACTAACATCAACAACAGGCAATGCCCTGTAAATACTGTTAGGTGGTGGGAGGTCACAGAAGGCTAATCAGAAGGCTCAATCCCTGCCTCACACAAGCTTATCACTATGTACTCAAGGACCCAGATTGGTGGGGGAGGGGGGCAGATTTGACAGACACAGCTCTAAATATATCAGCTTTGTCCATATAGCTGGGAGCGGGGTACTGGCTCCCTTCTGTCTTAGATTTGCAGTGGTCAAAGAATAGGATACAACCTGGGTAGCATAGTGAGACCCCATCTCTACAAAAAATTTACAAATTAGCTGGGTGTAGTGGGTGTGCACCTGTGGTCCCAGCTACTTGGGAGGCTGAGGTGCTGAGGTGGGAGGATCACTTGAGTCTCACTCGAGACTGCGGTGAGCTATGATCAGGCCACTGCACTCCAGCCCGGTCAAAAGAGTGAGACTCCATCTCTAAAAAAAAGAAGACAGAGGGTGAAGAATAACATTGCAATACCTTATGACCCTGTGTAGCACTATGTAGCATCTATGGTACTGTCCTTCATTTTTTCAATCAATGGTTGTTCATAGAACACCTGCTCTCTGCCAGAAAATTGTTCTAGGTGCCTCGAGAATACATCGGAACAAAAGGCAAGGTCTCTACCTTCCTGGAGTTTATATTCTAGTTGGAGAAAATAATGAAGAAGTCATTACATAAATAAGGTAACTACAGGTTGTGCCAAAGGCTGGGAAGAAAATAAGTGGGGAAATGTGGGAGAAAGTAGTAGGAGTGGGACTCCATTGGAGGGTGGTCAGGGCAGGCCTATCTGAGCCAGTGAGAGCCACAGGAGAGAGGGAGCCAGTCTTGCCTGGAGCTGGGTGAGGGTCAGTGCAGCAGCTCTGTATCTGTAAGAGGTAGGGTAGTTCTGTGTATGAGAATGCAGACTCTGGGGCCACACCACCTGGATTTGAATACTTGCCCCTTGGCTAACTAAATATATTCCACTATCAGGTTATTTAATCTTCTGAACTTCAGTTTTTTCATCTGTAAACTAGGGATAATAACAGTACCTCCTTGAGAGGGTTGTTGGATAACTGAATGAGTCGATACATGTAAAGTACTTAGAATAGTGCCAGTTATGTAGTAAGCACCAAATAAAAGTTCAATTGAGGGTGAGAGAAGGAGGAAACTGTTCCAGGCTGAAGGAACAGCAAATGCTAAGGCCTGGAGGCCTGAAGGGGCTTGGTGCATGTACAACTAGACAGTCTGTGTGCACAGGTATTATCCTCACAGTTATCGGGGAGACTCAAGAGCAGGCTCTCTGCCCCTTCAATACAGAATTATATATTTTAGGAATTTTGAAGAAATGACCACCCACAGCACTTTTCACTTGCAGGATCAGGCCGAGTGGTGTGGTGAGCTGCTGCTGCTGCTGCTCCTGCTACAACTTCGGGGACATTGCACAGTAGACCCTTCTTTAGGATCTCTTTCCCTCCCTCCTTCCCTGCCCCCGGAGGTGCTCATTGATGCATAAAGGGAAAGCAAGAGTGGAGCTGAGCCCCTGGTGCCACCAGCCCTGGTACCAAAATACTGGCTGTGCCCGCTTGCTGCGGGGTACCCTTCAGCCATCATCCCCTCCTCCTCCCAAGCTGGAAACTACAGCAGGGGAGGCTAATTGTCTGTGCCTTCTCCCTTGTTCCCTCCTTACTGAAATCTACTCAGTAAGGACCAAGTGACCTTGCCCTGTAAAGTAACAGTGACCAAGCCCTGTTATTTTTACTTCCAAAATCTCTCTCAAATATGCCCCCATCTTTCCATTCTCTCTGAGCATCAGGCTTCAGTGCTCTGTACTGTAAAGTGTGGCTCTGATCTCATCATGCTCCTCCTTAGAGCCTTTCAGTGGGTCTTCCCTGTATGGATACTGAAGTCCCGAGTCCTCAGCCCAGCAGGCATGATGGGCTACCTCCATCCTTTCTCTCACACCCCCTCCTCTGCACCATGTCCCCACTCTTTTTTTTTTTTTTTTTTTTTTTTTGAGATGGAGTCTTGCTCTGTTGCCCAGGCTGGAGTGCAGTGGTGCGATCTCGGCTCACTGCAACCTCTGCCTCCCGGGTTCAAGCAATTGCCCTGCCGCAGCCTCCTGAGTACCTGGGACTACAGGCACCTGCCACCATGCCCGGCTAATTTTTGTATTTTTTCGTAGAGACGGGGTTTCACCATATTGACCAGGCTGGTCTCGAACTCCTGACCTTGTGATCCACCCGCCTCGGCCTCCCAAAGTGCTGAGATTACAGGCATGAGTCCCCGTGCCCAGCCTCCCAACTCTTAATCCCCCTAGCCTCAGGTCTCTAGGCCTTTGCTCCCCCGTCTAGCCCCTCTGTCTAGCATGTGCTTTAGCCTTGGTGGTCCTGCCTATGCCTGAAGGCTAAGCTCAAATCCTACCACCCTTAGGAAGCTGTCTTCCAGATCCCCTCATCCCAGGGATTTCACTGTTCCCTGATACTTGGTACCTCTCATGGAGAAGTCATTACTGTCAGCCTTGAAGGATTTTGTGTGCGGTCACTTGTGTATGTGGCCACAGCTCATAGAAAGCCCTTGGGAGGGCCGGCACAATGTCCTTCATCTTTCTACCCCACAACCCTTTTCACAGAGCCTAGCCCTAATGCAAGCTTGATAATGGTCTGTATCGGATTGACAAAAGCCTGTGATTTTCCCGATATCTGAAATGGTTTGAGTCAAGCCAGAAACATGAGGCTGATGCTTAGGGGTTGCATATGGTTGTCAGCTGAACTCACTCGTGGCATTCTGATCCCTCAAGATGTAGCTCCTTCATTTGATGATGGGTTGATGCAACCTCTAAGATGAGTCTGAGTTTTGAATTTAGCTTTTCAGTGTGCCTATTTTAAAGGAATATACTGTGTAAAATTTGAACCTTGAAGCTTTTGACAATCATTCTTTATATTATAAAAGCGTTCCTTACTGTAAAAAAGATCAGTATAGAAAGCTTTCAAACACCAAATATACCTATGCACTTAACACCAATCAATGTATAAAATTTTGGTTTATCCACAGCTATTGTAGTTGTACTTTTACTGTATCCTGAGATATACACTAAACTTAATATATGTTCATGGAAGCAGTACTAACAGTGGATTAAATTTGTTTTGGTAATTACAGATTACATTATACAGGTTTGCAAATCTGAGACTTTTTTTTTTTCAGTTAACTATCTGCCTGAAGGACAGTGGGAAGCCGGACTAGGTGCTTGGCAGATTGATATGAGGGCAGAAGCCATTATTTTCATTAAGTGACACAGTGTTTTCAGGAACTCATCTGATGTTTAGAGACCTTTTTGCCAGCAGTTAGAAGTGGTTTGGGCCACCAATCCTTTCCCAAGCTGGCTGCTAAATGGTATGTGGCCTTAATATTAGTTGTTTTGGTGAAAAAGAAAAAAAAAAACACTAATTACAAGTTGGAAAAGATAAGATGGTAAATTTAAAAGTTCTTTTGACCTCTTTCAAGGAATGATCTGAGAACCTCAGCTGCTTCAGTAAAAGGGTGATATGGCAAAATTTCAAAATCCTGAATGGAAAGAGCTTCAGAGGAATTCATCTGGATGCAACAGTGCATCATTCTCTGAGATTTTTGACTTAAGAGAAGACAGATGTGCAGGCAGCTGAGAAATGCTGTGCTTCCTGTTCTTTGAGTATCTAGAATATAGGGTGTAGGCTACAGCTTGTATTAAAACCAACGATAACAATCCCACCTCCCCTGCCAGTTGAAACCCCTGTCTGATGCTGACTTGTAACTATTCACATGTGAAGCTTCTGAGTTACTGCTTTGTTGTTTTCTTTGCTCCAATGTAGAATTCAGAAGGATGCAAAAGGAAAAACAATTATTAAAGACGAGGATGGCATTTATTCGTTCTTATAAAAATAATTTATTTAGTAGCTGCAGTCTCTGTTCTCTCTGGCTTTCCCTGGAAAAAGACACCACTCCAGACTGTCCAGGGCTCCCCTGGTACCTGTGAATGTGCTGTTAGTTCCTGGTCTGGTTAGAAGATGATGTCTCTGTGGAGATACATACTTGGCCTCTTTCTTTCTCCCTGGGGTGAGGGACATTTTATGTATAGGAGATGGAAGAATAGACGGTCTCTTTCTCAAGCTCATTCCTGGTTATTTTCAGTACTTAGCTCTTTGCAAAAACTGCGTAATAAGTGTCTTAGTGAGAGTGTGCCTTGTTTATGTGCTGAAAACCTAGATTCACACATATGTTTCCAGATATTTTAGCTACCAGCATAGACCCTCAAACAAGACTGCCAGCTCCGGAGATGATCAAGTACAGCCTTTGTGTGGTGCAGGAATTCCCCTAGCATACCCAGCCTCCCTCTGCTTGGACCTACCAACCCCCACCACCTTCCTATTCCATCCTCAGTTGGCTCTGGTTATTACAAAGTTCTTCATTATTCCAAGCCAAAAATCTTCCTCTCGGCAATGGTTGCCCCATTGGCCCGATCCTGTCCTTTGAAGCCCCACACACAAAAAATCCATTTCTTCTTCCCTATGACAGCTAGTTAGGCCACTTGGACCTTCAAAGACAGGGATCAGGCCCCCACATCTTCACTTCTTTAGGCAGAATGCCCACTTTATCTGGCCCCCTGAAAAGCTAAGAATGGGACACCGCTGTGCAGGTGGGGGTCTGATCAGCCCAGACAGGAGCAAGCCCACTGCAGCCTCACTTCGGAATCTATATTTGCGTTAGCACAGCCTGAGGCCAGTTAGGTCCCGGTGGGTCCCCCTTCTGAGCTGTGCACTGGGCCACTACGGAACTGCATGCACTTTGGCGTCAGAGAGACCCGAGTGTCCTGGCCCAGTGGTTGACGTGGGGTCGGGTGAGTGAGCCCCCTCTCTGGGACTCAGATCCCTCATCTGTCTGACTACTTCTTAGGTGCTGTATTTTTTCCTGTAAATGCTGTAACAAATCACCTCAATCTTGGCTTAAAACAGCAGAACTGTGTCCTTGAACAGTTCTGGAGGCCAGAAGTACAAAATCGAGATGTTGGTAGTGCTGCTGTCCCACTGGAGTCTCTAAGGGGAATCCTTCCTTTGTCACTTCCAGCTTCTGGTGCCCACTGGCATTTCTTGACTTGTGGCTGCATCACTCCAGTCTCTGCCTCCCTGGTCACGTTGCCTCCTCCTGTCTGTTTCAAATCTTTGTTTCACTCTTATAAGGACACTTGTCCTGAGATTTAGGGTCCATCTGGATAATCCAAGGATAAGCACGTCATCTAAAGATCATTAATTTAATTATAGGTGTAAAAATCCTTTTTCCAAATAAGATCACATTTACAGGTTCCTGGGATTGGGACTTGGAATTATTTATTTATTTATTTATTTTTGAGACTGGGTTTGGCTCTGTCACCCAGGCTGGAGTGCAGTGGCATGATCAAGCTCACTGCAGTGCTGATCTCCTGGGCTCAAGTGATCCTCCCACCTCAGCCTTCTAAATTGCTGGGACTATAGGCGCACACCAACTGGCTAATTTTTAAATTTTATTTTTAGTAGAGATGAGGCCTTGCTATGTTGCTCAGACTGATCTCAAACTCCTGAGCTTAAGCAGTCCTCCTGTCCCAGCCTCCCAAAGTGCTGGGATGACGGGTGTGAGCTACTACATCCAGCCAAGACTTGGATATCTTTTTAGGGTGGCCGCCATTCAGCCATTGGCTCTCTACTTTCTCTACTTTTGCAACTCCCTTTTGTTTCTATTGTATTTGAACCCAGCTCTCCAGGGTCACTGGCCTCAGATCCTCAGGCCACATGTCTTCTGTCTCCTCCTTCCTTCAGCATCCTGGCTGCTGCTCTGAAGGGTGCCGGGGCTGTTCCTATCACTCCTGTTGTACAGATGTGGGTGGGGCCCTCAGGGATTAGGCTGCCTAGGAGAAAGCTCAGGTCTTTCTGGTGCATACCCTCATTTCCACCAGCATGCTATGGCGAGTCCAGTGGAGGTTTTGTCAGTGGGAAGGAGAAGCTGTGGCTATTAAAATATTCATTGCCGGTTCTCAGACGTAGGGAAGATCCCACAGTGAATGTGCTCTGGACAAAGAAGGGACACATAGTGGAAGACTTATGTCTTCACATTTTCCCACTAATTTAGACTGAGATTGGCTCACTGAATTTGAGGGAAATTATATTCTCAGTGCCCAAATACTCTGTAAAAAATCAGGAAATGCTCCTTGACAACCCTGTAAGGGCATAGTAGTATCATCTTCTTGCCCTACAACTAGCCTGTTTCAGAAGTTCCATGGTCCTTTAAGTGTGATCTCCAGTCTGCTGCTGGCTTCTGGGCTCTCCAAATGCAACTCCCACTAAAATGTGCTTTTCTCCACAAAGAGAGTGCGCTGCTTTGTTTGCAGTTGACTTTTCAAGCACTAAAAAAAAAAAAAAAAAAACAAAACTGAGGGGCAAGCAGAAGAGCTGCGTCTGGTGAAGCTAGTAGTGGAGCTGAGAGAAAGCAGGGGGAGGGTAGTGGCCTGGGAAGTTCTGGACACTGAGCAGCTCCAGACTCTCCACTCATTGCTGCCCCCAGGATTCCTGTCCGACGGCATCCTCCTAGATGGCTGCTGCACTCATTTCAATGTGCTTTGCTAAGAAAGGCCTGTGTGGGGATAGGGGCTGGGGAGGAGAGGCGGGGAGGGAGGAGAGAGATGAATCAGACAGTCCCTGCCCCACCTGCGGCTGGAAGTAAGTCAGTGCTGGGCAGGGTGCTGTGCTTTGCAGAGACCCTTGGGAGCCTAGCAAGGGCTGGCCATGCCTTGCAGGGAGATCTAGGAGGGCTTCTGGGAGGGACTGGCATTTGAACCGAGCCCTAGTGGGTGACTAGGAGATAAAGAAGAGAAAGATGGATAGAACAGTGTATCCAAAGTTGACCTCAGGTGGCCCCCTTCCTGGTCATCATCCGATGGAGCTGCACTGGAAGAAGCTCAGGTCTTACAGGGACCTTAAGGACCATCTAGTAAGGAAGATATTCAGACTGCACTGCTTAGAGACCTCCGCTTCTCATTTCTCTTAAAGAACAGTGATTTTAAAGTAGGTTTAAACAATGGGTTTAAAGAACAGTGATTTTCCATTTTGACAAGGCTTGTTTGGTATAGCCACTTCAAAATATCCCCACATCAAAATATGATGCTTTATCTGGGATATCTTTTCCAGACTTTGGGAGCCTTCCCTCCTGCACTTTCATTTCTGCAAGGCAATACTCCCCAGACAGTGTGGTCATGGGGTGTTGCTGTGTAACCTTCCCCACTTGACTGTGAGCTTCCTGGGCAGGGACCGAGCCTTGCTGCTCATTCAGTACGGAGCCCAGAAGGAGGCCTGGGGGGTACAGTGTTGACCGATGAAATGAATGAATGCATGGCTATGACTACTTCCTTAGCTGCATCTGGCTCCCAGCTGCCTTCATTGGTCTCTACAGTCATCAGTAGTATCCTGGCTAAGTCAAGAGCATATGTGGGCCTCTGTGTTTCTCCATCTTATATTCTCTCCTGGAGTTGGTTTGCTATATCAGCCAAGTTAGTAGAGACTTGGAGGGGTGGTGCCCCCTCTCTGCACTTTCAGAGGATAGGGAGGCGGTGGACCTAATGTCCAGCCCCTGGAACTGCTGCCTGTTGTTCTGTGACATGGCCAGACTGACCTGGGAACTTGCTAATTCGGTCCAGCTGGCTCTTCTTGGTGCCTTGTAGTCTTAGTACTAGAGTCACAGAGGCAGGAGGGTGCAGGGGGAAGTACCCAGGCCTTTGACTTCATCAGGCCTGAGTTTACCAGTTGCATGATCTGAGGCCCATTGTTTACTTGCTTTCTTAATTGATTATCTGTGCATGTTAAGCTTACAGAAAAGAAGATACAGGGAGGATATAATGACCCCTGTTTTCCACCTACACATGGTAAATATTCAATAAATGTTAATATTCTTTTTATGTTATCTGAAGGGCTGTCATGGAGAAGAGAGATAAGACTGGTTCTGTGTGTTAGAGGCTATCCAGAACAAAGTTTAGTTTTGCCTCAAGTTCTCATCCTTTCCAAATTTCATAAAGCCCCCCAGTGTCCTAATTCCTCAAGCTTACGGCATTCCTGACATGTTTGTTTCTTATTCTCTTCCACCTGCAAACTACCACCACCTCTCTGTGTGAATTTGAAGGTTGCTTCCCCTTGTCTGGGCCTCAGTTTCCTATCTGTGGGCTAGGTTATATCCAAGGTCCTCTACAGCTTTGACACTACATTTAATTTCACAGCATAGATAATCCATGTCTTAGACTGTTTTGTGTTGCTCTAACAGCTTGTTTGGAGGTTCCAGCAGGGGAGCACAGCTACTCGTATACCCTTGACCAAAGACCAGTCCTCCTCTGTCGGGGATGGCTGTCCTCTTTGACCAAGAATGCAGCTTCGGGAGGGATGCACATGGAGTGGTGAGGGAGGAAGGGGACACCTGCCTAGCCAGCCAGATCAGCTGAATCAAACCTGGTGACCAGTGGGGTGACAGATGTCACAGCCAGATTGCCCTCACATCCATGTTGCTATAACAGAATACCACAGACTGGGTATTTATAATAAATAAAGATTTATTGGTTGTGGCTCTGGAGGCAGGGAAGTCCAAATCAAGAGGCCGGTATCTTTCATGAGCCTTCTTGCTGTGTCATCCCATGACAGAAGGGCAAAGAGAGGGCAAGAGGAGTGAACCCAATCGCACAATAATAAACCCACTCCTGCAATAACAGCATTAGTCTGTTCATGAGGGTGGTGCTCCCATGTTCCAAACATCCCCTATTAGGCCCCACCGCCCATCACTGCCATATTGGGGATCACAGTTTTAGCACATGAACTTTGGGGGGTACATTCAAACCATGGCCATTCATTATTTGGAAAGTGATGTTCTAGGCCCCAGAGCAAATACAGATGGAGTTACAGTCCTTGGCCTTACAGAGGTCACAGCCTAGTGTGGGGACAAATAAGAAGTCAGCATCATGAATGCTGTGGTAGGGAATACAGGGCTGAGGGATCGGAACCAGAACAGGGAGAGACTAGCCACTTGATCAATGTATGGGCCCACTGCCCTCAGGGAGGAGCTATCTAGAAATGTTTGTTACTACATAAAAATATGAATGATGGAGACCAGGTCTTCCCAGGTGGCACTAGGATTTTTTGCTTTGAATTGGAATTATCAGTATGGAAAATCCCAGCAGAGATGACCTATGTGAGGGACCTTCTTTCCTCTCTTATTCTCCTGCCTTCTTGGAAAGAAAAAAAAAATATCCAAGTCTTCAGAATAGATTGACCTTTATGTACAGAAGCTCTTGGGACATGCAGCTCAGTTTAACAAGTACTGTTTGTGTGCCTGAGAAATGTCTGGGAAGATGCAGAATTACATGCGTAAAGAGAATTAATCTATCTTTTGCCATGATTGTGTTCAGAAGCTCATTTTCAAAGACAGTTTCAATTTTCCTAGCTGTCTGGGTGACAGTTAGATGCGTACAACCTGTGCACACTCATCCCTCTCTTGTATTTAGTCTGCCCAATTTAATTTGTTTAGATACCGTAGGCTTTTATTGATTGCCCATTAGAAGTTTAGCCTAGTGTTGACAGCCTAGGGGTATAAGAGACATCATTAGCCAGAAATTTCTTTTGTAGCTGGACTAGTAAGTCTTATACCCAAGAGTCAGTGAACAGAATGATCTGTTCACTGGGGATTGCTGAGTAAATTGGTGTGAGTGCCAGGATTTCTGCCCCAGGCTGAGAGATCTGGATAGATGGATGCTGAAGATGGTTCTTCAGGAAGTCTTTTGGAGGAGTCTGCATTGGAGATGGGCCAGGTGGGGATTGCATGCCAGAGTGGAGATGCAGGGGGAGGGGGCTGATCAGCAGGTGAACTCAGCATGGGAATTAGGCTTGAGCTAACTTTTCAGTCTCATCCTCCAGCCTGTTGTTCTCATGCCTTAATAATGAAAACATTTCTTCAATGCACAAGGCTCTAGCAGGCCTCTGGATTTTTGTTCATGCTATTTCCTTTGCTTACCCTCTCCACTGCCACACTCCATCTACCAGTAAAACTCCTAGTTATCTTTCAATTCTAGTGTTCTTCTGCTGTTCTAACCTCGTGACTTTGCCTCTCCTGGTTTCTCGTAGTGTTTTGTCTATATAGTCATCCTTCAGTATCCCATAGGGGATTGGTTCCAGGACCCCACTGCAGATAAGAAAATCCATGGATGCTCAAGTCCTTTATATAAAATGGTGTAATGTTTGCATATAACCTATGCATATCCTCTTGTATACTTCAGATTATCTCCAGGTTACTTATAATACCTAATAGAGTGTAAATGCTATGTAAATAGTTGTTATACTGTATTGTTTAGGGAATAATGACAAGAAAAAGTCTGTACATGTTCAGTATAGACACAACCATGCATCTTTTCCCCGAATATTTTCAGTTCAAGTTTGGTTGAATCCACGGATGCAGAAGCCCCAGATATGAAGGGCTGACTCTACTTCTGTTTCAGTATGGTACCTGGAGCATGACAGACGCCCAAGAGCTATCACCTGAATAAATGAATAACTGAATAAATGACTGATTATTAGGTTCTGTGTCTGACTCACCTGCTGGAACTGTGAAATGTTTCCTGAGAGAGGAGTGGAGGGCACCGAGATGAAAATGTGGGTGACAGATTCAGAGCAGGGAGACCACTGGGCTGCCCTTGGTGGTGGGGTGGGGGAGATGCCCTTTGGAGGGGATGTAGGGCATCGACATTTATGTATGTATGTATGTATGTATGTATTTATTTATTTATTTTTACTTTAAGTTCCGGGATACATGTGGAGAATGTGCGAGTTTGTTACATAGGTATACATGTGCCTAGTGGTTTGCTGTACCTATCAACCCATCACCTAGGTTTTAAGCCCCACATGCATTAGCTATTTGTCCTGATGCTCTCCCTCCCCTTACCCCACCCCCGACAGGCCCCGGTGTGTGTTGTTCCCCTCCCCGTGTCCATGTGTTCTCATTGTTCAACTCCCACTTATGAGTGAGAACATGCGGTGTTTGGTTTTCTGTTCCTGTGTTAGTTTGCTGAGGATGATGGTTTCCAGCTTCATCCGAGGACATCAACTTTTTGATGAATAGAAGCACACAGTAAAGATATTCTCTAAGATATGCTATAGACACTAAACATTCGGGGAAAAACCTGACTCTGGAATAATCAAAGAACTACAAATAAAATCAGCAATAAAAGCAAAGAAAAGAACTGCAAACAGAAGCCCCCTTATAAATCTAATAAATTAGGGGTGACTGAGTAATTGGGGGAAGTAGTTTTCCTACTGACCAAGGGAGCATAATTGGGATAGCTTTTGTGGGGGGCAATTTGGCTATATCAAAAGCATTAAAAACTTGTATAGTCTTTCACCCAGCAGTGCCATTCCTAGGAATTTATCCTAAGAGAATAATTACAGATGTATTTTCAGAGATGTTTATCTCAACATATTTGTAATACAGACATCGAAAATAAACCAAATATCCAGCAATAGGGACTTAGCTTTAAAAATGGCACTCTTATCTATAGCAAATAAACAATAATGTTGTAGAATAATAAAGACACAGGGAAATGTTTACAGTGTATATTTTTCAGTTTAGAAACCAGCATATATGGTAAGTTCCCAATTATGTTGAAAATGTGTCTTTTCACACAAAAAGACTGGAAGAGTAATTAGCAACTTATAGCTTTTAGTGGACAATTTTTATTATCTTCTCTCCAAAAAAGAAAACTTTCAAAATTTTCTACCAGCCACATGTATTACTTTTATAAGAGGGAGGAAATAAGTGACAATTAAGAAAAAGAGATAAGCTTTTGGAGAGCGTTGTTTGAGCGTCACTAGGTGGAAAACTAAATGAGCACATCATTTATCTTGCAAATTCCAGACAGGTGGTGTTTTCAGAAGGAAGAGTGGTCTTAGGTCCATTTGTGTGAGTATATTTATAGAAGTGAAAGCTTTGGGGGAAGGAAATAGATTGATTTTTTTTCCCCTTGAACTTCTGAAATTATTTTTTCCACTCCATTTGTAATTGAGCCCAGGGAGCTATTCTTATTTCTTCCTTTCTTGGGCACTGCGTTAGACCTAAAAATGTTAACTGGCTTAGGATGTGGGTTTTGCTAAAATGATTCCCCTTGAAGTCTTCACTGGGCTTTCTCATGCTTAAAAGTGGGGTCCCGCAGAAGATCACTTTCTACCTAATGCACTTTGCTCCTGAAGTCTTTGGCAACGTTGGGGTGGTCAGAAACCACTCCTGCCTTATGGTTCTGGACCCCAGCAGCCACATGTGAGGGCTCAGCAGTATGCACCTGTGTTGGCACTGTCTGTTGGAGAGGTTTATTTAGGGGTCAATCTGGCATCACCTTATCCTGTGGACGTAACATTAGTCTGCAGAAAAAGAGATCAGAGTTGGGTAGAATCACTTTGAATATTAAAGATAGTGATGCCTTTTGCCATACATCTCCAAAGAGCTCTGAGCATTTCAGACATTACCTCATCGTTAATTTTCACAGTGTTCTTGGGTGAGAAGCTGATGGCAAGTATTCCCTGGTCTCCGTGTGGGGCAGAACATAGCAAATTTTAGGTAGGTAGTAGGAGTTCTCCTGACTAGATATCAATTGGTAAAAGAAAATGGGGGCATTTTTTGGGTGTCTTCTTCACAGTTGTTCTGCGTTACTCAGAAATTAAATTGCCTTCCTGCATTTTGCCCCACTAACACTTATTGAGTGTCTACTGTGAGCAAGGCACAATGCTGAGTACTGTGGCTAGGAGTGAAATGTAAATGTCCTTAGTCCCACACTTAAGGCCTTTGGTGATCTGGCTTCTTCCACCTGCCACTCCTACCCCGATACCTCCACTTTATTTCACATACCTTTTATGCCTCATCGTCTTCATGCTAAGCTGAACCTTTGGTCTTCAGGGTAGCCCAGTGCCATCTCCCTTCTGTGCACTTTATGCCCTTCCCCTGGTGTGCCCCCGTTGCCTTTCTCCCTACCCCTGCAGGTCTTATCCTGTCCTTCACGCTCTGCTCACCTCCTGCACAAAGCCTTCCCTGATAGCTCACTCTACTTTATCCACAGCTGGATGGGATCTCCCACCACCAAACTCCCAGGTGTTCTACTAGCCTCTCTGCACTGGTCCTTACTCTTTTTTACTTTGTATTTCAGTGATTTATGTGCACTCCTTGATGACTTTTCAAGCTTCTTGACTGAAGAGATGTGCAAGTACTCAATGCATAAAGGAATGAAACGGGCATAATTTCAGGCTAGCAGTCACCAGTTTGTGCCTAGCTTTCTGAGGTACAGAGTCACTGATAGAACCCTACTTGGCCTCGCCTCTCCTTTGATCCTTCCTCACTGAGGCCCTTTGCTGCCTCCCAGTCGGTTCCGTCCTCGCCTTGCATCAGTGCCCATACCATCTTTCAGTTCATAGCTGTGTATTAAAAAGTATTCCTCTCTTATGGTGTTCTGGGGAGACATGGGAAAAGAGAGACAATTGAAGCATGCTTTTTTTTTTTTTTTTCCTGAGACAGGGTCTTGCTTTGTCACCCAGGCTGGAGTGCAGTGGCGTGACCTTGGCTTACTGCAACTGCTGCTCCCCCAGGCTCAAGCGATCCTGCCACCTCAGCTTCCCAAGCAGCTGGGACCACAGGTGCGCACCACCAAGCCCAGCTATTTTCTTGTATTTTCAGTAAAGACAGGGTCTCACCATGTTGGCCAGGCTGGTCTAGAACTCCTGACCTCAAGCGATCTGCCCACCTCAGCCTCCCAAAGTGCTGGGGTTACAGGCATGAGCCACTGTGCCAGGCCTGAAGCAGTTTTAAGGTTACCCCTGGGCTGGCCACAATGGCTCACTCCTGTAATCCCAGCACTTCGGGAGGCTGAGGCGGGCGGGTTGCTTGAGGTCAAGAGTTCAGGACCAGCCTGACCAACATGGTGAGACCCCATCTCTACTAAAAATTAAAAAAAAAAAATAGCCAGGCATGGTGGCACACACTTGTAATCCCAGCTGCTTGGGAGGCTGAGACACAAGAATTGCTTGAACCCGGGAGGCGGAGGCAGAGGTTGCAATGAGACGAGATCGTGCCACTGCACTCCAGCTTGGGTGACAGAGGGAGACTCTGTCTCAAAAAAAGAAAAAAAAAAAGAAGGTTACCCCTGTGCTTATTTCTTTTTCAACCTCTGTAATGCAAACCACCCACACTTCATGGGATCCTAAAATTGCAAAGGGCTTTATCCAGAGTATTCTTTGTCCATGAGCCGGCATGAGGGCTGAGATCATCTCCTGCTCTACCTGTGGCAGGCTGTGTGAGGCTGGGCAAGTTATTTAATCTTCCTGTGGCGTCATTTCCCCATCTGTTAAGGGGGGATAATGTGCTTAGGGGTGACCTACCTCCCTGGGATGCTGTGAGGCTTAGTGAGCTAATGCCATTGCTATTAACTTTAACTGAACACAACTGGGCAGAACTAGCAGGAGACCAAGTATTATGTGGCACAGAATAAACTCTACAACTATAAAATGGATGCATCATGAGACCTTGGGTGTCATCTTCTGTGTTGCCCTTGGCACAGAGGAAGCCAGTTTGCCAATCAAGGACCTCTAGGGTTTCCTCTCTCGACTGGCTCAAGTGGTTGAGGTCTTGAGGATGAGAATGCCATCTGCAGGACTCCTGTGCCTGTCGTGCTGAAAGGAGAGAAGCCAGACATGTTGACAGGCATAGCTGCAGCTGCCCAGTATCCGCAGATGAGGAGGGTCATGCTCCTGTGAGGAGGGGGCCCGTGCCACAGAGATACCACCCAACTTTGCCCACATGGCCTGGCAGTCGGTTTTACTTGGGCTTATCGATGAGCTATGGGAAGGTCATTTGATATTCACATTCTTGTGGCCGCAATGTTGGGAATGTGGCCTTTTATCTTTAAAAATAGCTGTGTGCTGGGAGGCCCGGGAGCAGTGTCCTGGGATGGAGGGGAGCTGCCAGCAGGGGGAAGAGGTGTGGATTTCTTTCCGAGGAAGAGTCCCTTCAGCTCTGTGCCACTGGTGAGTTGGTGTTTGCTCATTCTGTAACGTGTGCTGCTTTCTCTAGACTGTTCTTGGAAAGGGGGCTGTTTTGGTTCTTCTCAATTGTGATACCTTCTCCATATCTTAAAAAAAACCTGTTTCCACGGTATATTTGTTCTTGAGCACTTATCCTTTATGAAACCTGTTTGATTAAGATTCTTTCAGTGTTCATAATCGCAATTTATTTATTATGGGTTCTTCTCAAATTTAACTGGTAATTATTTCTCACATTTGTTTTGTGTTTTCAAAAGGCAGCATCCTTAATCATTTTATATATAAATAAGATAATCATTAAATACTTTTGGAACTAACTTGCCAACAGGTTTTCAAAATTGGGGGATCATAGGATGTGAGACCCCAGGCTAGAGACTTTCACGTTGAATAAATCCCTGTTTCAGATGGTGCAATGATGTCCTGAGAGGATAATGAGCAATCTTTGGTTACACAGCTAACTAGTGACAGAATCAGGACTTGGATCCAGGTCCCCTAACTTCCTTGTCCATGCCTCTCTGGTCAGCTCTGTGGAATTTAGCCTCTGAATTACAAGTGAGTGAGAAGGGGAAAAAAATCACTACCTAATTTAACTTTTCCGTATGTCTTAATTAAAATGAATCTTCTAGTTTTAGAAATGCCTATGCCATATACCACAGCTGATCCCTTGACCTTGACTTGCTTGATTCCTTTGATGGTCTGCATTGAGGATTCTTCAAGTATGGTCCCCACCTGTATTCTCCGAGAGCCTGTGAGAAATACGAACTCTCAGCCCCGCCCCAGACCTAGGGAAACTCTGCGGGTGGGGCCCAGCAACCTGTGTTTTAACAAGTCCTCCAGGTGATCTGATAGGCAGTGAAGTTACAGAACCATTGCCTGCCATGGCTTAAGTCATCCTCTCCATGTGTTTGACACCCAGGGCAGTGACTCACTTTGTTTCTTTTTCTTTTATGGATTCTGAGTTTTCTTTACCGAAGAGAGAGTTTCTCTGTTGCTGCTGCTAGCTTTGAATAATGATTCCCTTTTTCTGCTTCTCTGCATTACTACTATACACACACACCTAGCAGGAGTGAAAGATAGGTGGGCCAAAAATGAAAGTAAATAGGCTGGGCACGTGGTGGCTGACTCCTGTAATTCCAGCACTTTGGGAGGCCGAGGCGGGTGGATCACCTGGGGTCGGGAGTTGGAGACCAGCCTGACCAACATGGAGAAACCCCAACTCTACTAAAAATACAAAATTAGCCGGGCATGGTGGCGCATGCCTGTAATCCCAGCTACTCGGGAGGCTGAGGCAGGAGAATCGCTTGAACCCGGGAGGCGGAGGTTGTGGTGAGCTGAGATCACGCCATTGCACTCCAGCCTGGGCAACAAGAGCAAAACTCTCTCTCAAAAAAAAAAAAAGAAAAGAAAAAAGAAAGTAAATAGGGGATTTGAACAGAAACAGGTTTGCAGGTAGAAAAAAACGTCTCAACCACTGAGGTATGTTTTCTGCGTTTAAAACTTGCTACTTCTCTAAGCACACTGATAAATTAGACTGTGTCTAACTGTATTATACTGGGTTTTCTATCATTTATTTGTTATTTTATTCATTCATTCTGCAGATTTTTTGTACCTTGTATTTGCATGGCTCATGTTAAGTGCTGGGGGAGACGTATTCGAGTTTATCAGGAGGTAGAGAACATGTTCAAAAATAACTATAATCCAAGCTAGCCAGTGATAAATACAGGAGAATCATCTTTAGTAAAATGGTTGTGGAAGCCTAGAGATGGTAGAAAGCATGTATGAGGGAGGAGGACAGCAGGGAGGACTTCATGAAGACAGCAGCATTTAGACGAAGCTTAAAAGGAGGTGGAATTTGACATTGAGAGTTTGGGCGTGGGTAAATAACATTCTAGGCAAAGGTGCAAAAAGATCAAAGCATGGCGGGAGGCTCAGTGCAATTTGTTAGGATGGGGGTTATGTGAAGATGATTAGAAAGAAATGAGGCCATGTAACTAGGTCAGTGTCAAATGGAGAAGGATCTTCAAATACTCACTTAGGAGTTTGTTCTTTATCCTGAAGGCAATGGGGAGTCATTGAAGGGTTTTGAATAAGGGGGAGGTATGACCAAGCTGTGCTTTCAGTAAAGTTAATCTGCCATCAGCATGTGAAGTAGACTGAAGTATGTGAGAGGGAGACTTTCGTTGTTTTTATTTTGTAACTGCTTTGCAGCAGTTTGTTGATAGATTGAAAAATTGTCTTAATGTTTAATTGGGAGGTAATTGCCTTTCTTCTGGTGATCGTTGGATTTTGAAATAAGCATCCAGGGCATAGTTTATTGTCTGGGGAATGCAGCTGTAACGTTATAATGGGGAATCTGCAGGAAAATAAGAATCACTTATCAGAATGGCTTTATAGGAAACTTCCAGAACTAACTTCTTTCTTCCTTCTTTTCTTTTGAACATTTTCTTTTAAACAAAATGTGTTCATATTCATTTTATCCAGTAATAACCTGGTAATGCTAGATCACATAAAATCTACAAGTATTGAACACCTAAAGGCTATTGAACACCTAAAGGCTCTTTCTTGCCTTTTCCTACTCAGCCTCCAGAGCTGTTTTCCCTCTCACTCAAGGACTTACTTTGTTAAAGTGCCTAAATCAAACTCATTTTGCAAGGATCTGCCTTATTTCAGTGGTGGCTCTAATGGGAATAGTTGTAGGAAACTTGAATGTCATGAATATTTAAATATGTTATGACTTCTAGTATTTGTAGTATAGAGAAGGCTCTGTTACCGTTGTTTTTTTCAGTAGGGCTCTCTTTATAGGGCCTTGGCTTTGGCTAGTTAGCACCATTGATTTTAGTCATTCAATGAGTATTTAGTGAACATCTATTAGGCACTGAAAAATCATGGTGAATCAGACAACCACGGCCCTGCTCAATGTGGAACTTATATTCTAGCAGGGGATATATACAAGTAAATAGTCAAATATAGTCTGAGAGAGGGAAAATACTGGGTACTGTGAAAGCACCGACCCCGAGTAGAGGTCAGAGAAAACTTAACAAGTGGGATATAAACTGAGACCTGAAAACTAATTGGGGGCTGGCACAGTGACTCACTCCTGTAATCTCAGCAATTTGGGAGGCCGAGGCGGGTGGAACACCTGAGGTCAGGAGTTTGAGACCAACTTGGTCAACGTGATGAAACCCCATCTCTACTAAAAATACAAAAGTTAGCCGGGCGTGGTGGTGGGCATCTGTAATCCCAGCTACTCAGGAGGCTGAGGAAGGAGAATCGCTTGAACCTGGGAGGCAGAGGTTGCAGTGATCTGAGATCGTGCCACTGCACTCCAGCCTGGGTGACAGAGCAAGACTCCATCTCAAAACAACAACAACAAAAAACAACAAGCAAACAAACAAAACAATTGGGGTAGGTTAGTTAGCCTAAGCTTGCGGGGAGACAACTGGGGGGAAATGGACTGCTAATGAGTATGAGGTTTCTTTCTTTTTGGAGTGATGAAAATGCTTCAAAATGGATTGTGGTGATGGTTGCACAGCTCCATGAATATACTAAAAACCATTGACTTGTGTACTTTAAATTGGTAAATTGTATGCTATGTGAATCATATCTCAATAAACCTATTTAAAAAGTCAGTTGGAGAAGCCAGCAGCAGGAAGGGTGTACCTGGCAATGAAACAGCACATGCAGAGGCTCCGTGCCATGAACAAAAAAGGAAGAGATCCACTAGGTCTGGAACCTCCTGGGAAGTGGAGAGCAGTAAGACAGAGGAAAGTGAAGAGGCTTGAGAGGGGGAGTGGGGCCTGCACAGGTAGGTCCTTGAAGTCCTGTAAATAATAACAGCAGGTACCACTTACGAAGGGCTTATCAAATGCCTGGTACTGTTGTAAGCTGTTTCCATGCATTACCTCATTAATTCTCACAACAACCTTATGAGGTAGGTACTGTTGTTACTGGCATCTTATAAGTGGGAAAACCAAAGCACAAAACTGTGAAGTAACCTGCCCATAGTCACAGATCTAGCAAGTGGCATGGCTGAGATATGAGCCTGTATTAGTCTGTTTTCACCCTGCTGATAAAGACATACCCGAGACTGGGAAGAAAAAGAGGTTTAATTGGACTTACAGTTCCACAGGCTGGGGAGGCCTCAGAATCATGGCAGGAGGCAAGAACCAAGAGAAAATAAGGAGGAAGCAAAAGTGGAAGCCCCCAATAAACCCATCAGATCTCATGAGACTTATTTACTATCATGAGACTAGCATAGGAAAGACCAGCCCCGTGATTAAATTACCTCCCTCTAGGTCCCTCCCAGAACATGTGGGAATTCTGGGAGATACAATTCAAGTTGAGATTTGAATGGGGACACAGCCAAACCATATCATTCTGCCCTTGGCCCCTCCAAATCTCATATCCTCACATTTCAAAACCAATCATGCCTTCCCAATAGTTCCCCAAAGTCTTAATTCATTTCAACATTAACCCAGAAGTCCACAATCCAAAGTCTCATCTGAGACAAGGCAAGTCCCTTCTGCCTATGAGCCTTTAAAATCAAAAGTAAGCTAGTTACTTCCTAGATACAATGGGGGTACATGTATTGGGTAAACACAGCCATTCCAAATGGGAGAAATTGGCCAAAACAAAGGTGTTACAGGGCCCATGCAAGTCCAAAATCCAGTGGAGCAGTCAAATTTTAAAGCTCCAAAATGATCTCCTTTGACTCCACATCTCACATGCAGGTCAAGCTGATGCAAGAGGTGGGTTCCCGTGGTCTTGGGCAGCTCCGCCCCTGTGGCTTTGCAGGGTACAGCCTCCCTCCCAGCTGCTTTCATGGGCTGGCGTTGAGTGTCTGCGGCTTTTCTAGGCTCCTGGTGCAAGCTGTTGGTGGATCTACCATTCTGGGGTCTGGAGGATGTTGGCCCTCTTCTCACAGCTCCAGTAGGCAGTGCCCCAGTAGGGACTGTGTATGGGGGCTCCCACCCCACATTTCCCTTCCGCACTACCCTAGCAGAAGTTCTCCATGAGGGCCCCACCCCTGCAGCAAACTTTTGCCTGGGCATCCAGGCATTTCCATACATCTTCTGAAATCTAGGCAAAGGTTCCCAAACCTCAATTCTTGACTTCTGTGCACCTGCAGTCTCAACACCACGTGGAAGCTGGCAAGGTTTGGGGTTTCCACCCTCTGAAGCCACAGCCCAAGCTGTACATTGGCCCCTTTCAGCCATGGCTGGAGCAGCTGGGACACAGGGCACCAAGTCCCTAGGCTGCACACAGCAGGGGCACCCTGTGCCTGGCCTATGAAACCACTTTTTCCTCCTGAGCCTCTGTGCCTGTGATGGAAGGTGCTGCCATGAAGGTCTCTGACATGGCCTGGAGACATTTTCCCTATTGTCTTGGGGATTAACATTAGGCTCCTTGCTACTTATGCAGATTTCTGAAGCTGGCTTGAATTTCTCCCAGAAAATGGGTTTTTCTTTTCTATTGCATCATCAGGCAGCAAATTTTCTGAACTTTTATACTCTGTTTCCCTTTTAAAACGGAATGCCTTTGACAGCACCCAAGTCACATTTTGAATGCTTTGCTGCTTAAAAATTTCTTCTGCCAGATAACCTAGATCATCCCTCTCAAGTTCAGAGTTCCACAAATCTCTAGGGCAGGGGCAAAATGCTGCCAGTCTCTTTGCTAAAACATAACAAGAGTCACCTTTGTTCCAGTTCTCGATAAGTTCCTCATCTCCGTCTGAGACCACCTCAGCCTGGACCTTATTGTTTATATTGCTATCAGCATTTCAGTCAAAGCCATTCAACAAGTCTCTAGGAGGTTCCGAACTTTCCCACATTTTCCTGCCTTCTTCTGAGCCCTCCAAACTGTTTCAACCTCTGCCTGTTACCCAGTTCTAAAGTCGCTTCCACATTTTGGGGTATCTTTTCAGCAACACCCCACTCTACTGGTACCAATTTACTGTATTAGTCTGTTTTCATGCTGCTGATAAAGACATACCTGAGACTCGGAAGAAAAAGAGGTTTAATTGGACTTACAGTTCCACATGGCTAGTGAGGCCTCAGAATCACAGTGGGAGGCGAAAGGCACTTCTTACCTGGTGGCGGCAAGAGCAAATGAGGAAGAAGCAAAAGTGGAAACCCCTGATAAACCCATCAGATCTTGTGAGACTTATTCACTATCATGAGAATAGCACAGGAAAGACTAGCCCCTATGATTCAGTTGCCTCTCCCTGGGTCCCTCCCAGAACATGTGGGAATTCTGGGAGATACATTCAAGTTGAGATCTAAACGAGGACCCAGCCAAACCAAACCATATCAGAGCCCAAGAGGTCTGGCTTTAGAATTCACACCATGGGCCCTAAAAAATGATCCTAAAAGTTATGGGGTGACATTATAGAGTTGTATACAGGAAAGTGACAAGGTCAAACTTTCATCTTTGAGAAAGATTACTCTGTGGTGTGTGGAATAGATTGGAAGAGGAGCAAGACTGAAGGCAGGGAGACCGGGTGCTACAATGATCCACGTAAGGAAGAGATCATGGTGGGGCACGGTGACTCATGCCTGTAATCTCAGCACTTTGGGAGGCTGAGGTGGTTGGATCACTCTAAGTCAGGAGTTTGAGACCAGCTTGGCCAACATGGTGAAACTCCATCTCCACTAAAAATATAAAAATGAATCGGAGTGGTGGCGCACACCAGTAATCCAGCTACTCGGGTGGCTGAGGCACAAGAATCGGTTGAAACTGGGAGATGGAGGTTGCGGAGAGGCGAGATCGTGCCACTGCACTCCAGCCTGGGTGACAGAGTGAGACTGTCTAAAAAAAAAAAAAAAAATACAAATCATGGTGGCCTGAATGTGTGTGATGGTGGTGGGGATAGAAAGAAGTGGAAACTTGAGAGATTGTTAAGGAGGTCACATTTACAGGAGTTGGAAAGTGGTTGGATATGGGGGGAGGGTACAAAGACTCTCAGGTGGATGCCTGGGTTCTGGGCTTGGGAAGTGGGGAGAGTAGGGTGTTTAATGGTGCTCATGATGTAGGTGCCACAGGTGTGTCCCAGCATGGGCTGGTGAGTGCCTGCACATGAGAGAATAGATTAGACCTCTGATCTGACCTCTCCACCAGTCAGAATTATGAACTTGGAGGTGGCAGGGGCCTTAGAATCCTTCTAGATCTAGAGATGGAAATGGAGGTATTAGAAGAAGAGACTTGCTGAGAGCCACACAGGGCGCAGTGCCAGGGCAAAACGAGGTGTGCACCTGCTGCTGCTCGAACTGGTGTGTGTTCACCTGTCCTGTTGCCACTCCCTGGAGAACCTTTGCTTCAACCTGTAAAGCTTTGATTCTCTTCTGAGAGATCATCTCTCTAATCCTTAAAAGAGGTATCATTGCTGCACAAACAGTAACAATGGGAATTAAAATAGAAACAAAAAGAATTGGCTGCCTAAACCCAGCATCCATCAGATCAAGCTTGTTTTGTGTTCTCGCCTGTCTGCGCTCCGCATCACTTTTACAGTTGTACCCAGAGCATAGATATGGCTTTATGGCCTGTGGTTTATACTCACATTAAATCCAGAAAAGGCTTTTTCTGGAATGTTACATGGTTTCTGGTTCTCATTTTTTGGAAATTCAAGGAAGAAGACATGCAGTAAGCATGCTTCTGTGGCCAGTTCTGTTTTTCGTTCCTAGAGCTCGTGTCTCGGGGAGCATCTTGCTGCATAGTGTTTTCCTGTTTTCCTTAGGCAGAACTCCCAGCCCTGATCATCTCTATGTACTTTTAAAGTGGGGTGACTCAAACTGGACACTTCTCTACTGAGGTTAGGGACAGAGGGCAGAATGCTTAATTAGGGCTGAATTTCTGAGTTCCTGGGTCCTGCGGTTTTCGGCGATCTCTGAATCGAGTTGGCATTCATTCACAGCTGTTGGTGCCACTCCTACTGGCTGCCACCTCCTAACAGCTGACCCGGCTCCCTGAATTGTTTGCTGTAAACTGGGCAGCCCTACAGGAGGGAGAAGAGGTTTCCGGATAGAATGCTTAATTAGGGCTTAATTAAGACAGCCAGAGTGGCCCGTTGGCCTGAACCCTTGCATAGGGTTCTGATTGGCAGGCGGCATCTGGCATTCTTGGCCGCCTGACAGCAATCAGCCGTTCCTAAGCCCCATGCAGAGATGAGCGAGACACACACTGCCCTGCTGTTGGCAGGAGCTCTTCCTAGACTCCCTATAGCATTTTAGACAGCCCGTTCTTATGGGCCCCACTCTCTGCCTTATATTGGTTAGGAGTTTTCTATGTGGCTTGTCTTCTCTATAACACGATGAACACCCAAAGGGCAAGGGCTGTGTCTGCTTAATCTTGATCTCCTCTACCACACTCAGCACAGATCCCAGAGGAAAGAGGATCTAATGGAACGAATTGCATTTACTTTTGGACCAAATCCCTTAATTTGAGATGGCTGCAGACCTGTAAAGTAGAGTCTAGAGTCCAGGGACTGGAATTGAAAAATGCAGAGTCTAGGGGCCCGCAAACCCATGGCCAGCAACAAGTCTATGAAAAGGGTGAGGACTTTCAGGGAAGGAACCTCAAAGTCAGGACAGAGCCTTGATGTCATAGTCATGGGCAAGAGTTCTGCGAGGCATGTCCTGGGCCCAGCCCTGCAAGCCATTCTTGGTTGCTTGTGCTGTGGTGGTGGTTGTTACTGTTTATTAGTATGATAGGTTTGTAATCCTGCCTTCCTTACCCAGACACAGAAATGTGGAGTCAAATCTCAGCCCACCAGGGTGGCAAGCAGCTTCATATGGGCTAGAACTCTGGGAGTCTAACCTTCTGAAATGAAGAATAACATCATAGCTGCTGTCATTGAGGACTTTCTTTGTGCCATGCATTCTGGTAGAACTTCACATATATTATCTAATTTACTGTGGGGCAGGTGAAGTCAGCCCCATTTCACAGATGACAGTACAGGCTCAGGGAGGCTAAGGGAACTTGTCCAAGGATGCAAGGTTAGCACAAGGTTAGTGAGAGTCGGGGTTGGAACTAGGACATGATAAGGCCTGTGCTGTTGACATGAAAGGTCACTGGGGAAGAACTGTGAGTCCAGTAGTGCACTGTGAAAGCTTGGAAGGAGGAATACCATGACGTGACCACCAAACAAGATCATCTGCCCATGAGAGTGCTTTGAAAACTACAGACCATGGTTCAAAAACCTTGCAACCTTTGCTCACATTGCTAGCAGATCACTTCCTTTCTTTTGCTTTGAATTCTGATTAGGTGTGTATGTGTCTGACTTCCCTGGTGAAATGCAGGCTCCTTGAGGGTGAGAATTGTGCCTGCTTATCTCAGTGTCCCCCACAGCCCCTGTACTTGGCAAATTGTTGATGATCATTGAGTGTTTCTTGAATCTGTGGATATTAGCATTGATTCAGAGAGGAAGAAATGGAAACAGGACCCATGGTGACATTTGTCCAGATGTGTCGTGGCTAAGCCCTTGGCTGGAGATTTGACTCAGAGAATTGGAAAGAAAGGGCAGAACCCTAGAGCTCTCTGGAGATATGTGTGGGAGATCTCAGAGTGAATAAAATTCTGCCTACCCATGACCTCCAGCTTCAAGGCATCGATGCTGATTCTATCTCTTTTCCCCTCTAGTACTTACCACTTTTTTTTTTTTTTTTTTTTTTTTTTTTAGATGGAGTCTCAATCTGTTGCCCAGGCTGGAGTGCAGTGGTGCAATCTCGGCTCACTGCAACCTCCACCTCCCAGGTTCAAGTGATTCTCCTTCCTCAGCCTCCCAAGTAGCTGGGATTACAGGCATGTGCCATCACGTCTGGCTAATTTTTGTATTTTTAGTAGAGATGGGGTTTCACCCTGTTGGCCAAGCTGGTCTCAAACTCCTGATCTCAAGTGATCCACCTACCTCAGCCTCCCAAAGTGCTGGGATTACAGGCACGAGCCACCACACCCGGCGTACTTACCACTTTCTAACAGTCTTAATTTCCTTTTTTGTTCATTGTTTCTTGTCTAGTGAGAACCTGTATTAGAATGTAAGCTCCACAAGAGTAGTGATTTTTGTCTTTTTTGCTCCTAATGACTCCCAAGACCTAGAACAGTGCCAGGCACATAGAGGATACTGAATAAATATCTATAGAATAAATGAAGGAAGTGAAGGTATCGCAAGACCTGGAGTCACTGCAGAGTCAGCTGCACCTCTGCCATCAAAACACTTTCCAGGAACCTAATGTTCTGTGTGAGCCTCCCAAGTCAGGGCAGGGCCCAGAATAGCCCCAGATAGACTGCACTTGGCCTGGGCCCTTAGCTTTTCCAAGTAGGCTACTCAGGCCCTGTGGTCCTCATCAGCCTTTTAGGGCCCAGCACAGGTGCTTCTGGCATGGAGAAGCCTCTAATCTCGGTGCTCCCCTGACCTAGAGGTGATCCCCCTTCTTCTGAGCCCCTCCCCTCCATGCAGCCCTCTCTCATGGTCTTGCCATCTACTGTGTGTTGGAGCTCCTGGTGGGCAGACACTGTGGTTGCATCTTCTTGCTCCCCACAGACATTGGCATAGGGCCAGATGTTTGTTGGGTGACAAACATCTTTTGAGAGAGCAGCAGTCTGCCCAAAACTGATAAGTCTGGTGGCCAGAAGCATTTGGGGAACTGTAGTTTGCTTAAAGAGAGTCAGAAACTTCTGATTTGAAAGGGCTTTGAGGTCATGTTTCTAACCCCATCACTTTTCTTTTTCTCCTTTTATGGCATTTGTTTTTGTAAAACACCTTTATTGAGATATAATTCATATACCATGCAATTTACTCATTCAAAGCATACAATTCAGAAGTTTTGGTATATTCACAGATATGTACTAACATCAGCATAGTCAACTTGAGAACATTTTCATCTCCTCTAAAAGAAGTCTTTTACTCTTTCACTATCACTCCTCCATGCCCTGTTTCCCCAACCCTAAGCAACCGCTAATCTCTTTTCTGTCTCTACAGAGTTCCCTACTGGACTTTCATATGAATGGGATCATAGAATATGTGGTCTTTTGTGACTGGCTCCTTTCAGGAAGCACAGTATTTTCAAATTTTATCCATATGTAACTCTTACCTTTACAGGTAGGAAAACAGACACGGAGGGAAGGGATGTGACTTGGGTCACATGTCCAGTTGGGAGCAGAGCAGGAACCTGATTGCTGGTCTCCTGTCTCCCTGCACAGTGCTCTTTCCCTGCACCAGGGTGGAGACAAGGGGTTCAGCAGCCGCAGCTGACTCAGCAGTGTCATTTGCCATCCATCACTGAGGCTGCTTGAGGGTAAGCAGTAAGACAGACATGGTGATGTGAGGCCTTACAGATCACATCAACACCACCAGTGTTGGCATTGGTGTTCGTTTCAGCCCTTTCCCACACCCTTTCTAGGGATACTGTTTATCTGGTAAAGTGGATGACTTGTGTGACCAACTTCCAGTCTTCTACTAGGAGTGGCCTGGGTCCCCATCCCCTCAGATCCCTAGCAAGAGAAAGGCACAGCCTGGATCCCTATTAGATCTGCCTGTTCCTGTTGCCACCCTGTAGCTCTCGAAGGGCCATGCAGAGACCATCTGTACTGAGCTAGATAAGAGGCTAAGCCCTTTCTAAGAGATGTCTAATCCTGTTAGGCAGATGGGAAATGTGAGGGGCATGACGATGCCCTGAACTAGTGTTCCCGAAGGCTTGTCTTTGTACCACACGACACTCAAGACTATCTTAGTGGATATGTGAATGAGTGCTTTTCGTTTAAATTGCTATATATTTATTTTAATGTGCACCAAGAAAAAAACATATCCAGCATGATCAAACCTGTGGTTGAATGAATACTGTTGTCTAGGATGAAGCTAAAACGAGAGGCACTGTATTATAGAATCTGTTTTACGCAGACCATGTTTTGCAGGTGTGGTGGTCTGGCAGTTTGTTGACATGGCAAAAGTCAGGAGGGCAGTTTGAGGTCAACCATCATTTGGGGAATGCCACCCTGGGGTGATGGGGGTCCAGGGTGCTTTCCCACCTCCTGCATCTCCTTTTCATCTGGTGTGCAAGGCAAGGTGAGATGGCAGAGGATGCAGGCAGCCAGAACTTCTTGACGTGAATGAAAGGCTCAGAGAACCTAGAGAACCAGCTGTGAGCATTGTTTTTTCTCTGGTCCATGATAAACCGCCTTTCAGGTATTCAATGCCCTTTTCTATAATAAAAAGAGGGGAGGGGTTCCTGTTGGAGAGAGAGACTTAAAGGAGGGAAGGGAAGATGGAGGAGGAAGAAGAATGATATGTAGTGCCATCCCAAAATAAGAAATGAAAAGAAACAATTTGGGCTGGGCACAGTGGCTCATGCCTGTAATCCCAGCACTTTGGGAAGCCAAGGCAGGTAGATCACTGGAGGCCAGGAGTTCGAGACCAGCTGGGGCAACATAGCAAGACCCCTGTCTCTACTAAAAATATAAGAAAACTAGCCAGGCGTGGTGGCACGTGCCTGTAATCCCCGCTACCCTGGAGGCTGAGGTGAGAGAATCACTTGAACCCAGGAGGCAGAGGCTTCAGTGAGCCAAGATGGGGCCACTGCACTCCAGCCTGGGAGACAAAGCCAGACTCTGTCTCAAAAAAAAAAAAAAAAAGAAAGAAAGAAAAGAAAAAAGAAAATAAACAATTGGCTTTATCTCAGCTTCTTATGGCCACAGGTGAAATGACGTGTGAGGTTAAAATATCAGGGCCTGTGTTACTGTGAAAGACTTGACTGAGATCCCTGAGTAGGGAAGAGAGGTTTGAAACTCCTTCCTGGGGTCCTGGTTGTAACTGCACTTTGAGGAATAATCATGTGGTCTAATAGATAAGTCCCCCTTCCTTCCTTTCTAAGAATGTCATTTTCCTGATAAAGTGTCATAGCAATCTGAATTCTTTTTAAGAAATTCATGCAGATGTGTGAGCCCATTATCACTCACTAAGCTATGATCACGGTAATGAACCAAGGCAACATCAAATGATTGACATTGGAAATGTAATGTGAACTTCCCTAAAATATCTGCCAATAACTTTTCCTTTGGGCTTAGAAGGTTCCATAGTTATAGCTGCTTATTGTTCTGGGGTTCTCATCTTAGCATAGCATTTCAGACATCTGTAACTTGCCATTATTAATTCAACAAATCTCGATTGAGCTGAAGGCATTCTGCTAGGCTCTGCAAGGATTGTAAAGAAACAGGGTACTTTTCTCCCCTACCCTCAAGGAGTTTACAATCTGAGGGACAGAAAACAAGACCTGAATCCATACGAAGTTAGAAAACACAAGACAAGAGCATAAAGGAGATGATCACAGGCTGTATGGAAGAGCAAGACTACACAGCAGCTCTGTGATTGGGGAACCTGGTGAAACATGGTAGGCGGGTGGCCAGGAACTCGTCCTAAATGTGGTGGGTTTGAGCTAAGTGTTGACAGTTACATAGGATTTGAATAAGTCCTAGAAAGTGGGAGAGATCAGAACAAAGACACAAGAAGGGCTACCTAGGGGCTTTTTTTGAGAGGCAGAGAAGCTTTGGAACAGAGAATTACTTGACAGGAGAAGAATGGGCCTTGGGTTCCCCTTGGCCAGTTTGAGGAAGTTTTTTAACCTCTCCAAGCCTCAATGTCTTGTCTTCCAAATGGAGTTATGGATTCCCACTATGTGGGGTTGTCATGAGGAGTGAATGAAATCTACAGGTGAAAATGTTAGTTTCCCTCCTTCCCCAAATTGATCAAGAGAGCAGTGTTTTGGGGGCAATAGTGGGAGATAGAGTTGGACATCCAGGAAGATGTTGGATTTTAGGGATGGGGATCCCTGGAAGACTTAAGTGACAAGATAATACAATTTTACAATTGGCAGATACTTAGAAAAATGCAATGTTAAGATAAAGGGTTAACCAGAGGCTTGACAACTTGTGCAATTCTAGGATTAATTAAAGGCAAAGCCAGGAAGGAAACCAGGTCTCCTAATATCTAGTTCAGTGCTCTTTTCAGCATTCCCTAGGTTTTATCTGGAGGGAGGTTAGAAATGCAAATTCTTGGGCCCTACCCTAGACCTCCTGAACCAGAAACTCTGTGGCTCAGACATCCATGCTTTAACCAGTCTTCCAGGTGCTTCTAATGCTTATAGGGTTTTACTAAGAAAAAATGGTGGAAAGGTGAGAAAAACAGATTCCTTACAGAGTTGGGGTTATTACTTACTGTCAAGGAAAGGAGGACAGAAGGGTGAAGCTGGGCACCAGAAATAAACATTTTTTCTTTTCTTTTTAAAATTAAGATACAATTCACATACCATCAAATTGACCCTTTAAATTATACGATTAGTGGTTTTTAGAATATTCACAAAATTGTGCAGCTATCACCACTGTCTAATTCTAGGACACTTTTATCACCTTAAAAAGACATCTCTTACCCATTAGCAGTCAGTTCCCATTTCCCTCCCCCACTGCCTTCGCAACCACTAATCAATTTTCTATCTCTATACATTTACCCGTTCTGGTCATTTCATATAAATGGAATCTGACATTTATATGAAATCATGTAGCCTTTTGTATCTGGCTTCTTTCACTTAGCATAATGCTTTCAAGGTTCATCCATGCTGTACCATGCATCAGGACCTCATTCCTTTTTGTGGCAGAAATAGACTTCTTCTACTTCAAACTTTTGCCACACACAAATTTGGTCACACAACTGAGCTCACACTACCTCAGAAAAAGAGATGTTTCTTGGGCATATTTCCGTAGAACTTTATAGTTTTCAAAGCATTGTCACAGCATAATGGAATGTAAGCCTTACACCAACCCTGACTGATAGGCTGGGCAGGGATCATTATCATTGTTTTTACAGATGAGAAAACAGACTGTAGAGGGGAGTGTTCTGTGCAAATCCAGTACACTACTGTGCCTGTTCATTGAAGTGTGAGTAGGAATTTGATGGGTGTGCAGGCAGGGAGTATGGACTAGGCAAAGGAACAGTATCTGCAGAGACACGAGGGCATGAGAAACCAAAGCCTTTGGGGGGAACAACAGGTAATACAGTTCTGCAGAGTGTTGTGCGAGGGAGATGAAGTTGGCGGGTAGGCAGGGCCAGATCACAAAAGGCTTTGGGGGGAATGACAGGTAAAACAGTTCTGCAGAGTGTTGTGTGAGGGAGATGAAGTTGGCGGGTAGGCAGGGCCAGATCACAAAAGGCTTTGGGGGGAACGACAGGTAATACAATTCTGCAGAGTGTTGTGTGGGGGAGATGAAGTTAGCAAGTAGGCAGGGCCAGATCACAAAAGGCTTTGGGGGGAACAACAGGTAATACAGTTCTGCAGAGTGTTGTGTGAGGGAGATGAAGTTGGTGGGTAGGCAGGGCCAGATCGCAAAAGGCTTTGCGGGGAACAACAGGTAATACAGTTCTGCAGAGTGTTGTGTGGGGGAGATAAAGTTGGCGGGTAGGCAGGGCCAGATCGCAAAAGGCTTTGGGGGGAACAACAGGTAATACAGTTCTGCAGAGTGTTGTGTGGGGGAGATGAAGTTGGCGGGTAGGCAGGGCCAGATCACAAAAGGCTTTGGCTGCCATCCCAAGGCTGGGGGGAGGCAGTGGGATGGAATGGCTGAGTCCAGCTTCAGAGACAAGCAAGCTAATCTGATTTTTAATTCCAGTTCTGCCACTTCTTTGCTGTGTGTGCTTAGCCAGGTGACTTAACTTCTTCATGCCTCAGTTTCCTTTTTTTGTAAATGAGAATTATTATAAGCATTAAATAAGATAACCTGTATACATTGCTTAGCTAGTGCATGGCACATAGTAAGTGGTAATGTTGTTAGCATAGTTGTGTTACTGATATTACTATAATTCTTGAGCTCAGACTTTATCCTAAAGATGAAGGGGAACCACTGGGGGATTTTTGAAAATAAAAGGGATGTGATTAGAATTACGTTTTATATCACTCTGGCAGTCACATGGAGGACAGATTGATGAAGAGTAAGGAGACTGGCTGGGGGTTATTGTAGCACGTCAGATAGAATGAAAGTTTGAACTCAGGCAGTAGCACTGAGAAAGGAGAGGAGATGAGAGATTAAGACAATTGGGACCAAGGTCAACAGAATTTGGTGACTGAATCAATGTGGGGCACAAAACAGGGAAAGAGTCAGTCATGATTCCCCAATTTTTTTTTATTTTTGAGACAGGGTCTTACTCTGTCACCCAGGCTACAGTGCAGTGGCATGGTCATGGCTCACTGCAGCCTCAACCTCCTGGGCTCAGGTGATCCTCCTACCTTAGCTTCCCGATTAGCTGGGATTACAGGTGTGCACCACCACGTTCAGCTAACTTTTTTTATTTTCAGTACACACAGGATTTCACTATGTTGCCCAGGCTGGTCTCAACTCCTGGGCTTAAGCAATCCTCCCTGCTCAGCCTCCCAAAGTGCTTGGATTACAGGCATGAGCCACCGCACCCAGCCAAGATGTCTTTCAAGAACAGTGTCTCAAGTAGCACTTGTAAAACTTTTACATCTCCCAGAGAGAAAGATAATGAACTTGAGTCAATACCTGAATAATGTGCTGCAAAATACATGAACATAATCTTTCTTTTTCAAATGATCATTCTCTTTTCCTTTTTTAAAACAAGTTTTAAGGATGATTCTTTAATCTTTGCAGTTTAAAAATTTGAGTTGATATGTGAAGAGTCTTCCTTGTGGCATACCTGAGAGTTGTATTTTGTGTTCTTTATTTTTGAAACATATTTTTCAGCTTAATAAATTTGCCTTTCGGCTGGGCGCAGTGGCTCACGCCTGTAATCCCAGCACTTTGGGAGGCCAAGGCGGGCGGATCACAAAGTCAGGAGATCGAGACTATCCTGGCTAACACGGTGAAACCCTGTCTCTACTAAAAATACAAAAAAAAAAAAAATTTAGCCGGGCGTGGTGGCGGGCGCCTGTAGTCCCAGCTACTCGGGAGGCTGAGGCAGGAGAATGGCGTGAACCCATGAGGCGGAGATTGCGGTGAGCCGAGATCTTGCCACTGCACTACAGCCTAGGCGAGAAAGCGAGACTCCGTCTCAAAAAAAAAAAAAATTTGCCTTCCATTTCTTTGGTTACAGTTTTGTGTGTTCCTTTTCCATTTTCTCCGCTAGCCCTATTATTTGTGAGTTGAAATCCTCAACTGATTCTGTGCCTGACAGTTTTTCTTGAAGTGCTCTCTAGTTTTATCTACAATTTCAATTTAGCGCAAGTGATTTTGGGCACTTTAGTTTCTTTTTTATCCTTTGCTGCCTCCACTGATGTTTTCATTTCTCAATAGCTTGTGCTAGTTTCCTGAAGTCTTTTATTATCACCTTTTGTATCCCTTTTGAAGGGTTTATAACCTTAATTGTCTGTTTGCATTTAAAATAGCTATCACCTTGACATATTTAGTCTTCTCCATTTACAAAATATTTTGAGAGAGTTTGCCTTTTTATATTCACATTGTTCCAGGCAACCAGAATTGTGTTCAATTTGAGGGTCCATGCCTTTTAAGATATTTTTCCAAGTTGATGTGTGCTCTAAAAAGATCTTGTATTACAAGGAACTGTTGAAGGAGCTGAGGATGTTTGATTTGGGGCAAAGGAGACTGAAAGGCTGAAAGATTTCTATGTTTGAATCCAGAAAAGAAGCTGATTTATTCTGGGCGGTGGTGGTAGGAGTGGCCAGAGGGCAGCATTGGTGTGGAGGACTCAAGCTGCAGACGAGTGGAATTCAGCTTTATGTAAAGAAACTTTCTAACAATAAGATGGGTCCAACAGGGAATGACAGAACATAAGAGGCCAGATGACTTCTTGGCAGTGGGACCGTAGAGAAGATTCAAACGTTTTGGATGATGTGGACATTTACTTCCTTCCATTAGCCCAGCAATCCAGAGGCTAACATTAAAACCATTAGCAGGTCATTCTCTTGACTTTAAACTCTCCTGCTCAGACCTTGCTGAGTCAGGGAGCACTTTTAATGGCTTGGTTGATGTAGGCATTTGTTTAGTCTTTGGGGATCCCTGGATGAAGGTACCTGCCTACTCACAGTCCAGATATATAACACAAATTAATTCTCTTAATTAGAACCATGTATGTTTATAGAAACCAATTAGCTAAATTATATTTGGCAGCAGTTTCTTAAAAAGTAACCACTGTAGTTTGAAGACCTTCAAAAGGCGTGGAAAGGCTCGATGGCCTTCAGTCCTATGGATATGTTCGAGATCCCTGACAACTCTGCAATCATGTGGAAACTATAAGAATGTAGAGGTCAGACATTGTGCCTCTTCCAGTGCTGTGCTTACTTCAGGATTTCCAACTACTCTAGGTAATGTGGGGCTTTGAATTTTGAGACAGACTGCAACAGATACCATCTTGCCTGGCTCTTAGATCTAGTGGAGACCTCAGATTGCATGAATGGAAGGAACTGTAGAAGTCATCTGCTCCATGTATTCCATGGATGTGTCCCTCTACGTCATCCTCGTGTCCCTTCTGCTATATTCATGCAGTTTATGCAGGCTCCCCTGGAATACCTTCAGCGTCCAAGATCTTAACAATTCTTGAGGAAACTCATTCCATGCTGGGATCTACCAGGAACATGAATTTCTTGCCTTAGTCTGAGCTGGAGTCCCCCACGCTGTGGCATTTCCCCGTTAATCCTGTCTCTAAATTCCAGAATCATGTGGAATATGTGTCTTCCACATGGTGGCCCTTAGGCTCTTTGTGAACCATGATCGTGTGGGCCACCCCCAAGTTTTTATTTAATAAACATTCTTTGATTTTTCAGTGTGTTTTCATATGACTTGCTTTTAAATCTCCTTTCCTAGACCCCATAGGAAAGCGTGATGCTCAGACATAAGACAGACCAAGTTAATATCAATATCCTAGAATTTCCAACGGACTCGATCCTAGAGGGGGCCCAACTGGGGCAGTTGATATTTGAAAACAATATCCCATGGCTTTTGCTAGACATTTGTTCTTCTGTCTTCTGTGTTTAGTCTCTGTTTTGTCAGGACACTATAACCTACATTCTTGATCCTCCATGGTAAGTCTCAAAGAAATATGATGTTATTTTGTGTTCTTGGCAAAGGAACATTAAATAATCCTTATTATAAAAGAGCTTTTACAAATTGGCGACAAGAAGGCAAACATTCCAGCAGAAAAATAAGGAAAAATCAGAAACAGTAAAGTAATAAGAAGTAAATATAAATGGCCAAGAGCACATGAAAAATGTTGAGCTGTGCTAGTAATCAAATAACTTCCAATCACAGCTGTGATGAGTTCTGATCTGGAAAGATATACAGGATACATTTGCAGGTTAAAAAATACAAAGTGCAGACTACTGAGTATAACATTCTATTTTTGTAGAAAAGATGTATTAATATACATGATATAGGTCTCTATTAATTCAGGACAAAGATAGTATGAATACATACCAAATTGTTAACTGTGTTAACCTCTAGGGGAATGAGTTGGATGCTTGAAGTAGGATGCTTATTTTATGTAATTTTCAATGTGATGGATTTATGTGTGATATTTAATTTTTAAAATATTTTCCTATATATACAAGAAATATATTTTTATATGGGAAACATATATACAAGTATATACATTTCCTATTTACAAATATATATTTAATTATATATAAATATATATTTAAGCCAATAATTGAATGCTACTTTCAATCCCATTAACAAATATTTTAACAAATGACAATGTCTAGTTTTTATAAGAATATGGAGGATAATTTACTTTTGTCTTCTGTATTTTTCAAAATATAAATCTTTAAGTCAATAATTTCCATCCTACTGGCAAATTTTTTTTAAGTGATAATATTCAAAAGGTCTGTCCTGGCAGGAGTGCAAATTGGTAACTTCTTGGAGGCAATTTGACAATATACATCCAAATTCTTAAAAGTGAACATATGTTTATGTCCAATAATTTCACTTCTAGGAATTTATCCCCCCAAAAATATCTGGGAAGTAGCCATTTGCCATGAATAAAGATTTTTATTGTAAAGCTTTCATAATAGTGAGAAATTGGAAACATCACAAATGTCCAATGATAGATTTATTAAATAAATTATGGTATGATCAGAGAAAATAATACCATATAACCATTTTAAATGATGGTGTAAATGCTTAAATATTAATATGCAATGATGTTTATGAAATCATAAGTGGGAAGATGTAATTTTAATTAAGAAACATCTATACATGTGTAAGCATAAAAAATGATGAAAAATTAACTTGCTAATTGGGAGGTAGTGATTGTAGCTAATTGTAAGTGATTTTATTTTCATTATATTTTTCTGTGTATGTTATTAGAAGAATATATTCCTTCGGTTTTTAAAACTAAGTTAAACATTATTAAAAATCATTTAATAAAATAGTATTAAGGGTTTATAATAGAAATCAGCATTTCCTGCCCCACTCCTCCTCACCCTTGAATTTCTCTTCTTAGAAGCTCTTTCAACTCTTCTAGCCATTTCCTCTGGTATTTTCCTGCATATTTCTTAGAAATATGCTTGCATTCTTATTTTCTAATGTATTAATTTTGGACATTATCTAATTATTATGATAAATGAGGATTTAGCTCTTAGGCTACTGCACTTGCTTCCCTTCACCATATCGTTCCAATATCATTACATCACTGTCCTTTAGAAACCATTTTTCAGTGTTTACATTATCATGACAATGTAAATATTGTTCATTGTTGAGCCAAGCAGTGAACTATAATTTTATTTTCTTATACAACTTTTTATTTTCCTTGGATTTCATAATTCCCTCTGTTTTTGATCTGCTTAGTTTTTCATGTACTTATTGCTAATTCTCCCATACCCTCCAACAGCCTCTCAGTGAAATTTTCTACACAAACACATCAGATAACTTATCCATTTCTATTTCTTTTCCCTAAGACCTCTGTCTTCATGCATCTCAACAGTTGCTCTCTAGGTCTTTTATACAGGTGTTACCTTAATGCATGCCTTCACAGTCATCCGTGATGCTTATTTTGCCTCTTATCTATATTCCATTCCTAATATGCTGGATCTCATTTCTTTTGTCCTTACTTCCTTGTTTTGGAGGAGCACATCCTCTGTCAGCATCCTGAGAAAGGATGTGTGAAAGGTAAATTTTTAGAGACCTGAACATCTAAAAATGTCTTTTGTACTTGATTGGTAGTTTGATAGGGTATCGAATTCTAGACTGGGAATGCTTTTCCCTAAAAAATTTGAGAACTTCAATGGCTCCCAGCTTCCATTGTTATTACTGAGAAGTTTAGTGCCATTTTTAATTTCATTTGTTTGTATGTAATCTTTTTTTTTCCTCTCTGGAAGTTTAGAAGATATTTTCTGTTTCTAGTTTCTGAAATTTTACAATGTTGTTACTTGATGTGGGTCTTTTTTCATTCACTAGGGTGGGCAATTAGTATATATTCTTAATTTGAAAATTTAAGTTCTTCAAGAAATTTTTATTGAATTATTTGGCAGTTTCCTTACCTCCATTTCCTTTATTTTCTACTTCTGGAACTTCTGTTAGATGAATATTACACTTCCTGGACAGGTACTGTACACTTATTGTCTTTTATGTTTTCTCTGTCTTTGGCTTTGGTTACTCTTCCTACAGTCTTTCATTGACTTTATTTTTCTGTTTTTATTAATAATTGAATTTTTTATTCTAGCTGCCTTATTTTTAATTTCCAAATGTTCGTTCTTATTCTCTGATAGTTTATTTTTAAAAAATCCTCTTCTTGTTTCATGAATATAATACTTTATCTTTTTGAAGATTTAAGTTATAGATTGAAATTTTTTTTCTTCTGTTTTCTACATTGTCTCTGTTTCTTCTGAATTTTTCTGTTTGTTTTGGTCTGTTTTTTATAATGCATGCTTTCCTTAGATATTTATTGATAAGTAAGAGTAAAGCAGTAAAACAAATAATTGGAAACTTTGTATGATGGGTCTGGCTCATTGATTAATACATTTCAATGCAAGATGATCTGGCAGCAAGTTACCTTTTCCCTGCAGGGATCCCGAAAATGTCAATATCTGAAGGTCTTTTCTCTGGTGCTATTCAGTCCTCCAGAGAAGGATTCTCTAATCTTTTGCTTGGGACATGTCTTAGTCTGTTTTGTGTTGCTATATAATATCACAGACTGGGTAATTTATGAAGAAAAGAAATTTATTTCTCACAATTCTGGAGGCTGGAAAGTCTAATATTGAGGTGCTGGTATCTGGTAAGGGCCTTCTTGCTGTATCATCCCATGGAAGAAGGTGGAAGGGCAAAAGAGCACACAAGAGAGTGTGGAAAGAGGCCAAAGTTATCCTTTTATCAGGAACTCACACCCACAGTAATGGCATTAATTCATTCATGAGGACACAGCCTGCATGACCTAATCACCTCTTATAAGTTTCACCTCTCAACTCTGTTGCAATGGAAATTAAGTTTTCAACACATGAACTTCAGGAACACATTCAAACCATAGCAGGATATAAAGTACTCGCTGACAGTATTCAGAGAACTGGGCACAGGAAGAGGTCTTGTCATTCAGTTAGAAGAGTTTTACTTACTTCTTCTATTTTAATTCCTGTACCGTCTATTGTGCCTAGTCTCCCCAAGCTTCTCTTGTTCGTTTTCTCCAGAAAATAAGCCTCTTATCTTCAGTAGGATGGGAAAGAGATAGTTGTCTAGGTAGGTATTTCCATATTTTCAACCTTATGCTCATCCTTGCTTTCTCCTGTACTTACTGCCCCTAATTCCTGAGCCACTGGGCAAATCAGCACCCCTAGATTGGATCATGGTACAGAAAAAGCACATTAGTGAAAAACTGGTAAAATTTGAACATAGTCTATAGTTCAGTTAATAATATCGTACCAATGTTAATTTCTTAATTTTTACAAAGGTAAAATAATTATGTAAGATGTTAATATTAGGGAAAGCTGAATGAAGGGATATGGGAACCCTATATTATCTTTGCAAACTTTTTATACATCTAAAAGTGTTCCAAGATAATTTTTTTAAAAGAATAAGACAGTCTGGGTGTGGTGGCTCATGCCTATAATCCCAGCACTTTGGGAGGCCAAGGCGGGCAGATCACTTGAGGTCAGGCGTTCAAGACCAGCCTGGCCAACATGGTGAAACCCCATCTCTACTAAAAATACAAAAATTAGCCAGGTGCAGAGGCATGTGCCTGTAGTCCCAGCTACTCGGGAGGCTGAGGAGGCAGGAGAATAACTTGAACCCGGGAGGTGGAGGTTGCTGTGAGCCAAGATCGTGCCACTGCACTCCAGCCTGGGTGACAGAGCGAGACTCCATCTCAAAAAAGAAAAGAAAAGAAAAGAAAAGAAACTCTGGAAGGACAAATGGAAAACAAGAGCAGTGATTATGTATGGGCATGGGAACTGGGTGGGTAGGAGCAAGGAAGGATATAAGACAGACTTTTCACTGTCTACATATTTTTTATTATGATAAGAACACTTGAGATCTACCCTCTTAAATTTTTAAGCACACAATACAGTAACTATCTTTTTTATAAGCTAGTGTTGAATTATGTAAGTGAAATACTTATTCAAAAATTAAGTATAAAAGATTGAACAAAAGCAGCAGCGCTCAGAGGAATCTGCACAATGTGATGAAGAATGCTTCCATGTCCATGGGGTTCCTGATGCAGGCAAAACTGAACCGCATTGTCCAGGGTTGCACACATAGTTGGGAGAGGGAAGGACGGTGTCACATGGTAAGGTGTATCTCTTCCTATGGGTCACAGTCACAAAGTTTGAGAAACGTTATCTATTTTACTCTCTCATCCTTATGTTTAACTGTTTAAGATACAAACCCAGTCTGTTTGCTGCAAGATTGAGGGTTGCTAAAGTTGTTCACTCTGTGAACATTGAGCACCTGTTTATGTTGATTTTAGACTAAGGGAGAACACTAGTTATTCGATTAGCATGTCTTATAATGGGCAAATAAAGGAAGCATCGTCCTGATTTATCAAAATCCTCTTTAGAGTATTTTGGTTAGCATCTTAAGAACACTCTTCTTCCTTTTAGGTAAATGGAAGAGCTGGAGACCAGTTTATTCCAGACACGGAAAGCACATAGAATAGAACAAATGGTGGCAAGATGGCTTCGGCGCTCCCGGGACAGCTCGGCCCGGTAAGCCTCCTGAGTTTGCAGATTTCTGTCTATAAAGGTCTGGTGTCCCGGGGGAGGAGCTTGTGCTGGTCCTGGCCGCACCTTGGGATTGCTGTCTCCGGCTTGCTTTGTTCTTACACCATATGGTGGGAGCAGTGTAAACAGGTCAGCAATTTTGCTGGAGTGCTTTTCCCTGTACCCTACCCCCAACATGTACCTACACACACACAGAGACACCCCAACTCACACACACTTACAACATTTACAAACACACTGACACACAGACATACACACAGAAATACACTCATACATACTCATACGCACATGCATATACACTCTCTGGAGCACACACTCATACATACACTCTTTTGATCTCTCTCTGACACACACACAGACACACACACACATAGAGACACACACCTCTTGTCTTAGTACTTGACATGAAGGTCAGGTAATCTGCCGTTTATATTCTTTCTGTGTCTTCTGTGTCTTTCTGTGTCTTCGTTTCCAGCAGCTGTTCCTTCCTTGCAGTCCCTATGTCATTCTAAACAAAATAAAATGAAATCAAATACAGATCTGATTTGACTGCTACAGGAGAACTTTCAAATATGTTCTGTTTCGAAGCGTTCATTTTTGCTTGGATTTCCCATCTGGCCCTGCCACAGAGATGAAATATCACGTGTCAGGTGTTTCTGAGACACACATTCTTCCAAAGGAACTGGAAACAGCTGTTCTGCTGCTGAGTAATAAACTTTGCTCAGGGCTCCACTGCCCTGTGGCCAAGTTCTCTGATCCTCACACACCGAGGTCAGATAAAATGGGGCTCCCTTTTACAGATGAAACACCTAAGGCTCATAGAGTGACTTGTTTAGGACCACTCTTACCCAATGCTCAGAAAGCTTGGATGGGTCCCCATTTATTATAGGAGGAAGCTTAAACATTTTTGGTCTGACGTTTCAAGCTGCAATCCTTTCCAGCTATTTGTCTTACTACTCTGCTTCCTTCACAGTATGCTCCAGCTAAAGGGAACACTTATTATTCTACTACAAGCACCCTCTCTTCTCTTTCACCCCTTGGACCTGGGCTCCTGGGCCATATCCCTTCCTCCCATCTCCATGTGGCCAGAACCCCCCGCAGCTTAAGGCTTGGCTGAAGTGCTGGGTCTTCCATGAAGCCTTCCTCTGTCTAGAGTCAGGATGAATTTCTCCATAGGACCCCGTAGTATTTTATTTGTAGCACTGGCATTGTGCTCCCCCTGGTGCATTCAACTTTTCGAGCCCATTCATTTCCTTTCTCCTAGACCTGCCTTCTGTGAGGTCCAGGAAAGTATTGGCTTCATCTCTATGGCCCAGAAGTGATTGTCTTGCATGAGTGTTGTAGGTGGTCAGGTAGTGCCTGATGAATGAATGGAAAAACTGCTAAGCACATTGTTTCCCACAGTGGGGTCTGCAAAACCTAGTCCTGTGTGATGCTGCTCCATTAAAAGAGATTCTGTGGCCATACATGTTTGGGAAATGATGCATCCTATATCCTACTTCTGCCTTCCCCGACTTGGTGATTTATTATACACATTATGCATGTAATACAGATTAAAGGCTCTGAGAAGTCTCGCAGAGAAAGAGACCTGTTTAACTTGATGTTGCCTGGATATTTGACCTTGGAACCCTCTTAACATCTTGCCTTCTCACAGACTGTAAATGAAAGGTGACAACCATCACTGCTATCTAATTTTAGAATATTTTCAATACTATAAAAAGAAACCCTGTGCCCTTTAGCAGTCACTTCCTATTCTCCCCTCTGCCAGCCCCAGGTAACCACTAATTTACTTTCTTTTATTCTTTTTTGAGACAGAGTCTCACTCTGTTGCCCAGGACGGAGTGCAGTGGTGTGATCTCAGCTCACCTGCAGCCTCTGCCTTCTGCCTCGTGTCTCAGCCTCCCGTGTAGCTGGGACTGCAGGCGCGTGCCACCATGCTACTGTCTATCTCTGTAGATTTGCCTATCCTGGATATTTCACATAAATGGAATTATACAGTATGTGATCTTTTGTGACTGGCTTCTTTCGCTTAGCATAATATATTATTTTACTTACCATAATGTGTTCTTCTTTTGCTTATCTTCTTTTGCTTATCATACTGACATGGATCAGTATGACATGTCATAGTGTGGATTGGTATTTCATTCTTTTTTATTGTCAAATAATATTCCATTATGGAATATTTTCTTTGTTCATTCATCAGTTGATTTAACATAAACATTTGGGTTGATATATAAAGCCAAATAAGAATAGATAGATAGATAGATAGATAGATAGATAGATAGATAGATATGTCTGTGATGTGAACATTTGAGTTGTTTTTACTTTTGGGCCATTATGAATAATGCTGCTATGAACAATTGTGTAAAAGTTTTTGTTTGAACACATATTTTCAGTTCTCCTGAGTATATACTTAGGAGTGGAATAGTTGGGCCACATAACAACTCTGTGTTTAGTCTTTTGAGGAACTATCAGACTGTTTCCCAGAGTGGCCATACCATTCTACATTTCCACCAGCAGTATGTGAGAGTTTCAGTGCCTCTACATCTTTGCCAACACTTGCTGTTATCTCTTTTATTGTAGCCATCCTAGTGGGTGTGGAATGTTGTCTCATTGTGGTTTTTATCTGCATTTCCTTGGTGGTTAATGATATTAAACATCTTCCCATGTGTCTAGGGAGTTTTGCTTTCCAAGTGCTTGAGAAAGAGAAAAACAAAGAGATAAAGTTTCCTGTCACTGCCCATGGAAGACATAATTTCCATGTTTCTAGGATAAATCATTTGTAGCCTTGTGTGAATTTCTTCTCATCTGTAATCTTTGGTGTCCTCAGATTACTAGAAAATGATCAATAACTGAAAAAGCTGAGTGAGGGGTAAATAATTTCGTTTCCTAGGAATAGACTAAATGGTACCACCTACCACCTTGTTGCCTGGTCAAGAAACCTGAGCATCATCCTGACTCCTTGAATCCCCTGCATCCACCCCATCAGCAGCTCCTATCAGTTTGCCTTCAGAACTGTCCACCTCTCTCTCCCTGGGACCCCCGCAAGGATCACTCACTTGCTTTTTCCCTGTTGCAGCAGATTCTCTACTCTGCAGCTATAGTGGACTTTTCGAAATGTAAAATGTTCCTGTCCCATGCTAGCTCCCAGCTCGACCCCACCCCAAACCATTCAGTGGCTCACCTACCATTTTGCCATGACCTACAAGTCTCTTCACAATCTCTCACCAGCCCAACTGTCCAGCCTCACCTTGTTCCTCTTCTTTCCTTGCTCACCGTTCTCCATTGTTTTGCTTTTTTTTTTTTTTTTTTTTTTTTAATATCTAGAAGTCATCGAGCTCTTTCCTATCTCAGGGATTTTGCACTTGCTGTTCAGTTGGCCTGGAAAGTTCTTTTACTTCCTGTTTTTATGACAGGTCCTTCTTCATCAGGTTAAATTTAAACATCACCTTCTTTAAGAGGCCTTTCCTGACCACCCAAGGCACAGGGAGTCCATTCTCTTGCTTGTTTCCTCCAGGGTACTTACCTGCTCATCACGCTTTATAATTATATATATATTTATTTACCTGTTCATTATCACCTCTGCCATCATATGGCTTTTCTCCCCCAACCTTCCTCTCATATATGAGACCAGGGACCCTGACTGTTTTGTTTCACAAAGTATCGTCAGCCTTAACAGAGTCCATAGTATGTAACGGACATTCAATAAATTTTTACTGATTAAGGGCTTTTATAGTAGGGGACTGTATTATTCATTGAAATATATTTAAAATGCACATCCCTCCTTCTTCCAAAAGGAATTTTTAATGATTACAGTTTTAAAACATGTGGGAAAATTAAACAAGAAGTGTTAGAAATAGATTGCAAACCAATGAGACTAAGGATTTAGCATTTGAATACTAACATTAGCCCTGAATTTCCTGGTAGCTGGGGCAAGAAATCAAGGAAGTGTATTGAAATGTCCTCTATAGTGCAGAAGGAAGAAACACAGATATGCATCTGTAGTCACATAATTTTACATGCATATTTTAGCAATTCTGTTTTTTTCTGACTTTTAAAAACTCAGTCGTTTCAGCCAGTTGTACTTGCTTTACTTGTCTTTGGCATTTTTTTCCCATAAAATTTAAACTCTATCTGTGGCTCTAAGTGAGTTGTCTAGGAGTAAATTAGTCAAAAATAACCATTTCCATTTCCAGGCATTACTAAACAAATTGATAACTTTTATACACACAGAGTAATGTTAGAGCTTTATAGAGAATCTTAAACAGGTATTTTACTGAGGAATAGTGTCAACTTTCAAAGTTCCTGTGATTTCTTAAATTTTAGATTAATTTTCAGTAGGTGGTTATTGTTACAATCATTAGTCAAATTCAGTTGGTAGCCCTTAGTTTGAATGAGTGTCCCTGTTTGGGTAGGAGTAAACTGGTGAGACCTATAGTTACAGGAATGGGAAATTGTGCAGATATGATAAGGATGACTCCTCTGTTACCACTCGATTTCATATTCCAACGGAAAAATAACATTTACAGTATCAATGTTCTTTTAGAAATAGCTAAACTCGGCCAGGCCCAGTGGTTCATGCCTGTAATCCCAGCACTTTGGGAGACCATTCTGGCTAACACGGTGAAATCCCGTCTCTGCTAAAAAAAAAACAAAAAAATTAGCCGGGCGTGGTGGCAGGCGCCTGTAGTCCCAGCTACTCAGGAGGCTGAGGCAGGAGAATGGCGTGAACCAGGGAGGCGGAGCTTGCAGTGAGCCGAGATAGCGCCACTGCACTCCAGCCTGGGTGAAAGAGCAAGACTCTGTCTCAAAAAGAAAAAAAAAAGAAAAGAAAAGAAATAGCTAACCTCCCAAAAGGTCTCTGTGACATGTTTTGAATTTCTGTGTAAATAATGCAATGCAAACTGCTTAATAAAAGCTGCAACACAGTGACATTACATCATAAACTAATTAATTTTTAACCTTTTGCTTTCAATCAAATTGTCATCTTCTTTATAGCTTCGTATGACTACAGAAGTGATAAAATGACAAAGATTTGATGATAGTATATTTTTCCACTTAATATTACCAGTTCTTCGGCTGGGCGTGGTGGCTCACGCCTGTAATCCCAGCACTTTGGGAAGCCAAGATGGGCAGATCACAAGGTCAGGAGTTCGAGACCAGCCTGGCCAACATAGTGAAACCCCGTCTCTACTAAAAATACGAAAATTAGCTGGGCATTGTGGCGCGTGCCTCTAGTCCCAGCTACTTGGAAGGCTGAGGCAGGAGAATCTCTTGAACCTGGGAGGCAGAGGTTGTGTGAGCCAAGATCGTGCCACTGCACTCCAGCCTGGGCAATGGAGTGAGACTCTGTCTTAAAAAAAATAATAATACCAATTTACATAGTTAAATGGGATTCTTTTCCTTCGCAATTTCTTTCATTGCTTCTAAGCTTACAAAAATCTTCATCCAATACAAGTTTTTCAATTCAATTTAATAGCTTAAAATGTTTATATTTAATTCTTTAAGTTGGAGTTTATTTTAGTATATGCTAGGAGATGACGATCTAACTGGATTTTTTTTCCAAATTAGTAAGTAGTCATTCATATTACCATTAATTGTGAGTGATCTTTGCCTTCTTGATTCATTCTTTACTGACCCCTCCTTTATTGTATGTGAAATTCTGGCGTCTGTGAGTGGGAGATTGGACCTGTTTCTGGGCTGGCTATTCTGTTCCATTGATGTAACTGCCTACTTTTACACAGCTGTATTAAAATTACTTACGTTACAATAGTATTATGCATCTCATTATCTTTTTTTTTTTTTTTTTTTTTTTTTTTTTTGAGATATAGTTTCCCTCTGTTGCCCAGGCTGGAGTGCAGTGGTGCGATCTTGGCTTACTGCAACCTCCACCTCCTGGGTTCAAGAGATTCTCCTGCCTCAGTCGCCCGCGTAGCTGGGATTACAGATATGCGCCACCACACCTGGCTAATTTTTGTATTTTTTTAAATTTATTTTTGAGATGGAGTTTCACTCTTGTTGCCCAGGCTGCGGTGCAATGGTGCAACCTTGGCTCACCGCAACCTCTGCCTCATAGGTTCAAGTGATTCTCCTGCCTCAGCCTCCCGAGTAGCTGGGGTTGCAGGCATGTACCACCACACCCGGCTAACTTTTGTATTTTTAGTAGAGACAGGGTTTCTCAATGTTGGTCAGGCTGGTCTCGAACTCCCGACCTCAGGTGATCCACCTGCCTCGGCCTCCCAAAGTGCTGGGATTACAGGTGTGAGCCACCACACCCGGCCTAATTTTTGTATTTTTAGTAGAGGCAGTGTTTCATGTTGGCCAGGCTGGTCTCGAACTCCTGACCTCAAGTGATCCACTGGCCTCAGCCTCCCAAAATGCTGAGATTACAGGCGTGAGCCACCGTGACCAGCCTCATTACCTATTAAACTAAGCTTTTATTACTCTTCATTTTCAGTGCTTTTAGTCTTACCCACCTATTCTGTCATATGAAGTTTAGAATCATTTTATTATACTATTAAAACAAATAAGCATGAGATTTACTGAATTCTCTCTGTCTCTCTCTTTTTTTTTTTTTTTTGAGATAGGGTCTTGCTCTGTTGCCCAGGCTGGAGTACAGTGTTGTGATCTTGGCTCACTGCAACTGGCACCTCCCGGGTTCAAGTGATTCTCGTGCCTCAGCCTCCTGAGTAGCTGGAATTACAGGCATGCGCCACCACGCCTAGCTAATTTTTGTATTTTTGGAAGATACGGGGTTTCACCATGTTGCCCAGGCTGGTCTTGAACTCCTGATCTGAAGTGATCTGCCCGCCTCAGCCTCCCAAAGTGTTAGGATTACAGGCATGAGCCACCGCACCCCACCAAGATTTACTAAATTCTCTTATGCTTAATCTAGAAATGTTAGTTTTATAGAGCGAGATCTAAAGAAGCATAAAGAACTTAATGTGACATCGTGCTTTCTTCACTGCTTGGTTGTATCCTCAGGGCTTGAAAAGATATTTCTTTTAACTTGTCTTGAATGTTAATACTAATGAACATACATGCATGTCTACACACACAATGACACAAGGCACATACATGCATACATGTGTACACACCCATGCATGTATGCACACAGGCACACACATGCACATGTATGCATGCACGCACACACACACACACATATACACACATTTTGGCATCTTAGTGTCAGAAGCCCTTGCTGCTGGTTTTACACACTTTCCAAACTTACTTGGTTATTACAACTATAAGAAGTCTATTTACTAATTTTAAGAATGGTTTTGTTAAAACCTTTCTAATTCTGTTGACCTTTCTAATACTATTAATGGTGTAGAAAGACCCTTTTAGGCAACAATTTTTTTTTATTGTGTCTTGACCCATAGGCAAAAGTAGAGAGATTTGAGGGTAGTCTGGAAGGCTCCTGGACTGCATCTGCAGAGTTGCCATTATTTCCTGAATCCTGTTTTTAAAGTAATAATGGAAGAATTTCTCCTTTCAACTGTAGGAGCACTACCCTCACAATCTCCACAGTGAATGGCCCCCTAGAAACTGTTACAACCACAAGTGCATTCCTATGATTGTGATTACATGCTACATTTCCTTCTGGTACAGACTGATGCCTCTATTTCTGGTTTCTTTGAATCGTCTTTACGTTATGAAATCCAGTTTATACCAGATTTAGCTTTTAAAATCACTCAAGCTGAACATAATAAAGTGTTTAAACATAGATTCAAAATTGTTTCTCCACATCCTGCTGGAACTCGGAGGTGAATTCTTTGTTGTTACAGGATAGAGGTAGAATACATTTTCCAACATATCAGAGAGCAGATAAAAAGCCAGAGAATATGTGAAGTGCAATCAGTATCCATCTGGTAGTTTTCCTTTTCAGTGTTATTAACCAGCTCAGTATAAACTTGTGAGCTATGAAAAGTAGAATTCATCTATGTGAGACTGTTTTCATGATAAATGTAACATGTTTGTTCTGGTTCTACCTTAGGGGAGATCCAGTTATCTGGCAGGAATTTCATTAGTGTAACTATAGGGCTTCTGTTCTTCCAGTGTAAGATCACAGAAATGACCTCACATTTATGGTTTGAAACGATTACAAAGGCAGCAGAAACATGTTTTGAGATCAGTGCTTAGTTTGATATTTATAAGATGCTTCAGAGGAGGAAATGTTGTTACAGAGATCATTTCCTTTAGCTTACTGTCAATATTAAATGTTCTCTATGAGGAGCGGCCATGGTTTGGTCATGTACTTAGGTTAATCCCTTTCCAAACAAAAGCTAGAACATGGCCTTTGGGGAAAATGTCAAATCCAGACTTTGGGCCAAAGCCACTGACACTGTCCAGGGATTAGTCAATACAGTGCAATGTCATTTGTCCACCATTGTGGAGGACCGCACTCTGCCAAGTGGAAGATAACGGAGCCTGCCCATTTGAAAAGCATCAAAATGGATTCTGTTGAAACCCTGTAGTAAGGTTTGTTCTTTCTTTTGTTCTCCAAACAATTATTAACCCTACTCTATGGCTGGTACTGAGTTCAGCACATGGGACAAGAAATATGTGGTTCTTGCTACACAAACTAGTCCAGAGAGGACAAGAGACTTTGCACTGGTCTGTAGGTACATTTTGTAGGAGATATTTCCACCAAAATCAGAAGACTGAGTAGGAGTTGGGCAGGTAGACAGCATGATTGGATATGTTGGGGAAATTGTGTGTGTGTGTGTGTGCGCGCGTGTGTGTGCATGTACGTGTGTGTGTGTGTGTGTGTGTGTGTGTGTGTTTTGGAGGCAGGTGAGTTATTCTAGACAGAGGGAAGAGCTTGTCCAAAGGCCAATGTGTTTGAGGAACTTAGAGTAGGCTAGTTTGACTGGAACAAAAATATCAAAGAGAATGAATGACTTGGTCCTGGAGGCTGGAGTGATGGGCGGGAGCTGTATTAAGCCATATTCAGGATTTTGGATTATGCCATTCAGTCAGGGGAAACACATGAACAGAATTGTGTTTATAAAATCAGTCTGGCTGCTAGATGGAGAATCATTCAGGAAAGATGAGAATGGAAAGTGGGGAGACCAGTTAGCAGCCTAGTAGAAACCTGTCAGTAGGGCTGGTGATGGGGCCTGAAACAGAATGGTGGCTGTGGAGATGGAAAGAAATGGACCCTTTTTGAGATCTTCTCGTGTTGTGAGTGATTTGAAGGATAAGAGTGGAGGAAAGTCAAGGATGACTCTGGGATTCTGGCTTGAGCAATTGTCATTATCCTTATGATACCATTTACTGAGCTCTGAGACACGGAGAAGATAAGTTCTGATTAGGGCAATAGCCATAGGGTTGAGCTATATATCGAGTTAAGCAAACATAAAGGAAAATGACAAAGTTTCATCTCTGTTACTTATATTCAAATTGCTGTTCATTACTGGTTGTATATGCCTTTTCACTTTTCACTAATTATATTAGAGGTACAACTACATTAGCAGTAACATATTAGATATGTACAGTATTTTGCTCATTTATTTGCCCAATAAGCACTGATGCTTCCCGTGAGCAAAGATCTTCACTTGACAATGTGAGAAATACAGAGGTGGACAAAATGTGGTTCCTGTTTCCAAGGAATAAATAGTCTGTTAAGGGTAACAATATATGGAGTCAGATAACTTTAAATAAAGGTTTGGATGCTCGGGGCCATAAGAGAGGGTCAGAGCTCCAAGATGTGAGAACTTAGGTCTGGCTAGGAAATCAGAGAAGGAAGATATGACCTTTGAGCTGGACTTTGACTTGGCCTCACACTTTCTGCAGAGGCAGTTGTGTGAGCCAAGGCCCAGGGGTAAAACTGTTAGAGGTAAGATCAGTCTGGAGTGAAGGCCTGGGAAGGGGAGTGGTGGGTGGATGCTGGCTAGGGACTGAAGCCTCAGGACACAGGTCCACGAAGGCAAGGTTGAGGAGTTTGGCTTTTGTTCTGTGGGTGGTGGGGAATTATTAGGAGGAGAATAATTCTAGTTCTCACTTAGGAAGGGTAAACCATAGCTTACACAGTGCTCTGGAAGGGTATTTTCTAGATTGTGTTTCTTTGTATGTCTGAAGCTTTTAGGCCCACAATACTTTTTGATGTAGAGTCTTCGAGGTCATTCTTTGTTGTGTTTGGTTTATCTATTCCCTATCGGGTTGTTTTGAGTTTTCCCACTATTCTAAATAAAGCTGAGATTGATATTTTTGAATACTTAAGAGCCAGGGTTTATTGAACTCATACTCTGTTCTAGAACTTTACTAGGCATGGGAGACATGGAGATGAATGGGTACCACCCTTGTCTTCTAGGAACTCATGGTCCAGGATAAATAATATGATATTTTTTCCTTTGTGGTCATCAGTTCAAGGAATACCGGTCAAAATGGTAACAGAAGATCAAATTTAAAATTTAAATTCATGGTACAGGTTCACCAATGATTTCCTAGAGAGATTGAATTGCCAGTTTGTATTGTCATTCTTTAATCTCAGGACTAGTACCTGTTGGGCCTTATTATTTTTATTCATATTTGGTATGACACATAATAGTACTCCATAGCCCTTTCAGTTGTGCTTCTTTGATAAGGTTGTACATTTTCTGTGTTAATTTCCAGCTTGCTTTCTTCATGTGAGAGTTGTCAATTCACTTGCTTTGAGCATGTGAAATGTGGGTATCTACTATGTGTATTTATGCCCATTCTTCATATATTTGTATTATAAGCTTTCCCCACTTCAGGATTTTTTTAAATTTACTTATTTTCAGCTGCTTTATTGATAGATAATTTACATACCATACAATTCCCCCATTTGAAGTGTACAATTCAATGGTTCTTAGTGTATTCACAGATCTGCAACTGTCACAAGTCCATTTTGGAAGGTTTTCATCCCCCACAAAGGAAACCTATACCTATTAGCAGTGACTCCCAAACCTCCCAAACCTCCCTCCCTGAAGCCTTGGACAACCCCTAATCTACTTTCTGTCTCTATAGATTAGTCTGTTCTAGATATTTCATGTTAATGGAATCATACAATATGTGGTCATTTGTGACTGGCTTTCACTTAGCCAGATTCATCCATGTTTCATTCCTTTTTATTGCCAAATATTCTGTTCTGGAATACGGTATTTTATTTATCCATGTCATTAGTTGATGGACATTCGAGTTGTTTCCACTTTTGGACATTTACAGAAAATGCTGCTATAAATATTCATGTGCAAGTTTTTGTGTAGACATTTATTTTCATTTCTCTCCGGTACATACCCAGGAGTGCAATTGCTGGATCATGTTGTACACCATGTTTAGTCTTTTAAGAAACTTCCAGACACTTAAAGGACTTTCTAGAATTTCTATTCAGTTTCATTGGTGAAAGCCACACTATGCAGTTTTGATTATTGCCTTTGTCTGAAAGGAGTGCTTACTTTTCAACTGTAACTTTTCTGAAATCTAAGTATTTCTGATAGAAATTTAGAGTTCAAATTGATACGCGCTGTAAGTGTAAAATAGACCCTGGATTTTGAAGACTTAATATGAAAGAATGCAAAATCTCTCATCAATAATTTTTTGTATTAACTACGAGTTGAAATGATACTATTTTGGATATATTGAGTTAAATAAAATATATGTTATTAAAATTTATTTCACTTATTTTTTTCCTGTTTTTATGTAGCTATTAGAAAACTTAAATTTACGTATGCGGTGTGTATATTTCATTTGGACCGCACTGCTCTAGAAGCAGTGCTAGTGTGCCTATTGAAGAAAGTAGCCCCAATTTGAAACCTGCTTCCCAGCTGTATGACTTTAAGCAAGTTAAAATCTCTCAGAGCAAGATTTAGTCTTTTCACCTATAAAACAGGAATAATAATTGTACCCACCTCAAAAGTTTGAGGGTTGAGTGAGATATATATATATATATAATGTTAAATCACTCCCTAAAATATAGTTAGTATTCATAAATGTTATTAATTATTATTGTCGTTATTGCTGTGATTACCATCAATTTGTCAAGTTGTTTTTTAATCTGGAAGAATTTTTTATTTATATTACATTAAATCTCTATTTAATTTAGAACTTTTTTTTTTTTTGATACTTAGTGTTTCCATCCAGGAACCCAGCATAACTTTAACCCAATTATTGTGTTTTCCTTTATTGCTTTAAGGAAAGTTATATTATTTTCTTTAAATAAATCCTTCTTCCCCTGAATTACATTAGTACACATCACTAGTTTTGTTACTTGAATCCTTTCTTGGCATTTTCTAGATATTTAGCATTCACTCATTAAGAATGCCTAACACCGAATGTACATTCAGCTAATCTGCTTTTAATGAATTGTTTGATCCTTTTTGTGGCTGTGTTTTGTGTTTTTATCCTGCATCTCCACTAAACTTATCTTCTGGCACTAAAAATTTTCTTTGTTCATCATTTTCTGTGTGAATGTCATCTGCTAAAAAACAAAAAAAAAATAATAAGGTGGTACTTTTCCATTCCTGTGCTCATTATTCCTCTTGTCATTTTTCCTTCCCTGATAACTATTATTAGCATTTATCCTACTACATTAAATAAAACACCAAATTGTTTGTTTGTTTGTTTTTGAGATAGTCTCGCTCTGTCACCCAGGCTGGAGAGCAGTGGCATGATCTCAGCTCACTGCAACCTCAGCCTCTTGAGTAGCTGGTACCACAGGTGTACACCACCAAGTCCTGCTATTTTTTTGTATTTTTAATAGAGACAGGGTATTGCCATGTTGCCCAGGCTGGTCTTGAGCTCTGGGACTCAAGTGATTAGCTAGCCTCAGCTTCCCTAAGTGCTGGGATTACAGGCATGAGGCACTGCACCTGTAATGTCAAATGTTGATTTTTGACTTTTAGTATAGAGTGTTATTTATTGCATTTAGAAAAACCTTTTTATAGCTCTAAATGTTTTTTACAAAATCAGGAATAGGCTGGGTGCGGTGGCTCCTGCCTGTAATCCCAGCACTTTGGGTGGCTGAGAGGCAGATCACTTGAGCTCAGAAGATTGAGACCAGCCTGGACAACATGGAGAAACCCCATCCCTACTAAAAATACAAAAAATTAACCGGGTGTGGTAGCACGAGCCTGTAGTCCCAGCTACTCAAGAGGCTGAGGCATGAGAACCGCTTGAACCAGTGAGCTGAGATCATGCCACTGCACTCTAGCCTGAGTGACAGAGTAAAACCCTCCCTCAAAATAAATAAATAAATAAATAAATAAATAAATAAATAAATAAAAGATTGAAAAAAAATCAGGAAGAGCTATGGGCTTTATTTAGTGTGAATTTTCAGTTTTCTGTTTCTTCCCTCTCATTAGGTCTCTCTGCTGCTCCAGCTCAGTATTACCTGCATGCTGGCCTAGAAGAAAGACTCCCTCTGCTTCTAGGTTGTGTGGGCTGGGTCATCTATTCATACAGATCCTAAATTTGCTCTAAGTCAGGGCCTGGGGGGGATCCTTGGTGGATAGTGTACACGAGACTTTGGACTTGTGCTTGTCACTTACATTTTGGCTCTGTGAGACAGTTTTTCATATTTCCGGATCCTTGTTGAAACTGGAGATCATTATAAATGAGAGGGAGATGATTTTCAGATAAGTGAGGGCCTATTGCATTAGGCAGGGTTCCTGAAAGTGTTTGGTAAATGGATGAGAATAAATGATAGACCTTAACCGCAGAGTCCCAAGACAGCTATTACTCCTTCACATTTCTGTTGTTCATAATGACAATAAACACCTCATCCCATCACTATTTGACCTTCCTCAGAAAGAACCACTGACTGTTAGAGGGAAAAATCATTTGCCACAGGTGAATGACAAATAACTTGTGACTCGCTTTGTGGTTTCTCTCTTTGAGAGATAGAAAATATTACTTTCCTGCTTTTAAGGAACATACATGTTTTAAAAGTTGATATAGAGGGAGTCCTTGCTATCTGAGATTTTATATTGGAAACCTTGCAGTTACAAAGCTTAAAGGGAAGCAAAATTCATCATAAAGAAACAAAGAAAAACATCACCAAAGACAAAATCTTGCTATAAAATTATCCGTCATCAAACATCTGAACCTGACAACTCCTTGTTTCTGCTCACCATCCATGTTTTTCCTCTCCTGTACCTCTGACTCCAGCAGTATGTCCTGCCTGGGATGCCCATCTGCCTGTTCTTCTGTCAGTCCGTCCATCCATCCATCCATCCATCCATCCATCCATCCATCCATTCATTCATTGATTCACTCAGCAGCAGTTATTGAATATCTTCTGTGTGCCAGGATCTGGGCTGTATAGGTATACCCTAGACATGTCTCAGAGTGCAGCTCAAATGCCACCTCTTCCAAGTACCAGATGCGTCCCTGATTCCCTATTCCCTGCCCTACAAAGGTGAAACTGCTCTCCCCCTTCTCTGTGTGTCCATAGCACTTCCTGGGCGCTTTCTAGATATTTAGCATTAGCTCATTAAGAATGCCTGGCAATACGACTTCTCTTTTAGAGGACAGTCCTAAGTTCTGCTAGTGGAGTTGGTGTCTTATTTGTCTCAAGAGGAGAATTGGTGTCTGCTCAGTTCTGCATCTTTCTCCATGATGCTTAGGGCTGACCCAGTTCGTGACCAACAACTAGAGTCTTCTCTTTCTCTTTTTTACATACTCCTTCTCTTCCAGGGCTAAAGTTGCTGCAGCTGATGGGCCCGCCAGGAACCCAACTCAGACCCTCATCCCTGTGCGACACACAGTAAAGATAGACAAAGACACCCTCCTCCAGGACTATGGATTTCACATTTCTGAGAGCCTTCCCCTTACAGTGGTGGCTGTCACAGCAGGTAGGGGATGACTGGGAAATGAGAAAGGAGTTTGGTTTCTTAAGGGGAAATAGCCCCAAATCTCCCCGATCTCTCTATCCTATAACAAAATGCAGAAAATCCTACCTGGGAAGTTAGAAAAGGCACACCTAATTCTGTCTTGGGCTTTGCACCTTACTTTGATGCTGGGAGGGAGGAAGCCTCAAGTGCACTTGCCGCTCCAAACCCCAGGCTCCCACTGGCCTTGGCTAGGGCGTTGCCCACCCTTGGCTCCCTGGCTGGTCTCAGGGGCAGTGAAAGTATTTGGCTAAGCTAGCCTTCCTCTTTGAACCCCACACGCTCCTAGCTGGGGATACTTTCTGGTCAGACAGTAATAGAAACCATTGATTTGTTTTCATTTGAACCTTGTGAAATACAGGCTGTACCAGGGTGGAGAGGAGCAGGTGGGGAAAGTCCAGTGCTTGTTTTCATAATTGAGGTGTGTTAATCTGGGATTCGTTAAAATGTATTGATTTCTATTTACTACACATACACACCAGAGTTTTTTAGAGATGAATGGAGTAGATTTACTGGCCAACTCTATTGATTTAGAAGGTTTCTGCTAGTTTTCTTTCTCAGGACAGTCTTCTAACATCCCTGGAAGTTGGTGATAGATGATAGGTACATTATCCATGGTTTATAAACAGGAAAATTAAGATCCACATGAGCCCAAGCCTGACTGAAGGCGGGGGAGTGAGCCAGTGCCCCTGGGAACTGGATCAGGGTGCCATTTAACTGTGCCGCTATTACACATAGAGTCTGGGTCCTCCCGGCATGAGCACCAATTACTTATTTTCTGTCCAACAGGAGGCTCTGCTCACGGCAAGCTTTTCCCTGGTGATCAGATCCTCCAAATGAACAATGAGCCTGCTGAAGACCTTTCCTGGGAACGAGCAGTCGATATTCTCAGGTACTAAATGGTCTTCCATCATCTACAGAATTGCACAGATTATCAAAGAACAAAGATGGGCAACAGGAATGGCATAACTGATCCCCTGATTTTAATAAGGCTAAGTCTCCTTTAAAGCAGCAAAAACAGCCTCGTTTTAGAGTTCCATCTATTAAAACGGCTTCTTGTTAGTGGCTGTTACAGTCCACTCTCTCTCACTTGCCTACAAAAGAGCTTGGGAGGCACAGAGTGCTGTATTTGTCAAAGCCCTGCTATGCCCAAGACACCGTGCTAAGCATGCAGGGAATGTAATGATCATAAATAACCCACAGGCCCTACCCTCTAAGGATTTATAGGCACGTTGTAACATATGCCAAAGATTGAACTAAATTGATGCCAAATCTGTTCTTCTTTATCCCTCTTGATATATCTTCTTAAATATAATTGCAGGTGCATCTTGGTTGGCATATATGTAGTTTCATTGATGTAGCACCTCCAAACCTTCTGTCTGGTGTCATTGTGACTTATGAAAATGCCTCGCTTTTTACCTAGACAATGATTTCCTGAGACCAGGGCTCAGTGGGTGCTCAGTTAAATGAGTGAATATGGTTAGCGCTGGGAATTGGCAACCCAGACTTTAAGACGGAGGAGTGCCATTGATAGGAGTGAAGAGGACAAGCAGACATTTTAAGGGCACATGAAGCTTTGGCTTTTAAATTTTTCACTCAACATTGTTCTAATGACTAGTATAAAGACAGACGAGAATCAGAGGTAGATGAAAGCTAACTTGAAGAGATATATATATATATATAAAATTCAGTTTGTGATTTTTCATGAATGGCTGATCTGGCTTTGGGGTGGTATTAATTGTTTTTTTTTCCCTTTTTTTTTGAGATGGGGACTTGCTGTGTTGCCTAGGCTGGTCTCAAACTCTTGGGCTCAAGTGGTCTTCCCATCCCAGCTACTCGGGTGGCTGAGGCAGGAGAATCGCTTGAACCCGGGAGGCAGAGGTTGCAATGGGCCACGATTGTACCACTGCACTCCAGCCTGGGTGACAGAACAAGACTCCATCTCAAAAAAAGAGAGAAAGAAAAAGAAAAGAAAAGCCAAGGAAATACACTGTAAATGCTGGAGAGTCCTCCAACTTGGGCAGAAGTTGTAGGCTGACAAAACAGAGAAGGGCCCAGAAATATTTCAGTTGTGTCTTTAATGCTGGGTAAAATTTGGTCCAAAAGATGGAGGTGAAGGGTGATTCAGGCAAAGAGGTAAACAGAAGCAACTGGGTGGGAAGTAGGGGCTGCTGAGCAGTTCAGTTTGCCTGCAGAAAAGTTCTAGGAAGTGAAGTCCAGATGATAGAAGGTCTTGAATGCCAGCACAGCATGTTTCAGTGTGATTCTCCCCCTGGAAGGGCGAGCAGTTGAAGGCTTCTGAGCAGGGATGCATGACTTGAGGTGTGCTGTGCATCTGTACCCTCTGCTGTCTTTTGCATGTGAGAATCCCAGGACGCCTTACTTTTTTTAAGCTTAGTTCCCAGTGTCTAAAACCAGCATGTATTATTCAGTGTCACGTGTAAAAGGTAAAACACAAAGCAAAACAAAAAGATACAACAACAATGCCAAGAAAACATCTCAAATTCCTCCAAATAGCTATGAGGCCAGTATGTCCTTTTAGAGCACTTGCATTTGGGTTTATTGTGATTTATCTCAGAAAAGGCCTGTTCTCATTTAAAATGGAAAAGAGGAAGTCCCTAGACACTTAGACATCTTGGGTTGAGTTTATCCTTTTGAGGAAATAACACACCAGCAGCAATTGGCCTAAATGTTCATATTGCAAGAAGTCAAATGAAATTATTTTGCCAACTGCTTCTCCATGGTAGCAGTGGCAAAGAGAAAGGAAAATATGATCGATTTTCTCTGTTCTGGCCGCTAATATAAAGTAGAGGTCAAGCAGTTATCTGCTTGATTTGATCACTTTTGAAATCTAAGAGATAATGCAAGACAAAGATGTCTACTATCTTGATTATATGATTGGGCTCATTACACCGACTTTGTGTGCCCAAACACCATAAACTCTTTGGCTTTTATCTGATAAACGTTATCCACAGACATTCATTCTGTTTAGTGAAATGTTTAGCCTGAGTTTTATGAAATAGCAACCTGAGTTATCTGTGTTATTGCCATATTTTCTCCTAAAAAATTTTTTTGGGTTGGGCACGGTGGCTCACACCTGTAATCCCAGCACTTTGGGAGGCCGAGGTGGGCAGATCACCAGGTCAGGAGTTTGAGACCAGCCTGACCAACATGGTGAAATCCCATCTCTACTAAAAAATTAGCTGGGTGTGGTGGCGGGTGCCTGTAGTCCCAGCTACTCGGGAGGCTGAGGCAGGAGAATTCTTTGAACCCGGGAGGCGGAGGTTGCAGCAAGCCAAGATTGCGCCATTGCATTCCAGCCTGGGCAACAGGGCAAGACTCTGTCTCACAAAAAAAAAAAAAAAAAAAAATTGGGGGACATAAATCTAGCTGGTTGTCACTGGATGAGTTCTTCATTGTATAGGACTAAATTAAGGCTAAGTGCCTTAATTAATGTTGTGGCTGTAGATATAGACTAGATGGTAGAGGTGAACTTACGAAAATTCCCTCCAGGTGGGAGGAGCTCTCTGGGTCAGCTTAAGTTCCTTTGCAGGTTGCTGCATTTCCCAATATCTTTCTCAGTTTTGCTGAGCCAAAAAAGCTAAGGCAAAGGAGGCTGCTTTATACTCATTCTGCCAGTCTTTTTGACCCTAACACACATGCTCACACATGTATGCATGCACGTGCATCCATCACGCAGAACGACTAAATGTTTTTGTCTTTATTCTTTCTTTTTTCAGGGAAGCAGAAGATTCTCTTTCAATCACAGTTGTTCGCTGCACGTCGGTAAATCTCTTTCTATGTCCTGTGTGTTAGTTTCACCATTCTTGGCCCTAAGACCCTGTTCCCCCAGAGGATATCCCTCATAAAGTAAGCGGGGAAGGCAAAGGGTGGAGGGTGACAGCTGCCCGGCAGTGGGTGGCCAGTCAGTCCATGTTATCTGAAGACCTCCTCCATGCAAGTACTGTGGAGGAAACAGATATGGTGAAGGCCTCAAGAATTTATGGTCCAGCTGAGGAGATGGACCTATGGCTATGCACAGTAGGATGATGGTAAGGGCACCAAACTGGAGTTTCAAGACAGGTTTGAGTGGTATGACTTTGGGAAAATCATTTAGTTTCAGTTTTCACTTTTGTAAAATAGTCATGACAATAACTGCCTTGTCTGTTTAATGGGTTGTTAGAAGGACCAAATGAGATGTTGGATATGAAAGTATTTTATCAGCTCTGAGGCTCACCACACGGCAAGGTGTGGCATAGATGATGCACAGGGAGGAAGCGGCAATCCTAAACCACCACAGGCCGAGGAGCTCCTTATGTATTATTTAGGGAAAGTATATAATCAAATTTTCAAAGGAAAAACTACTAAGGAGATAGTTTTTCAAAAGTTGATAGAAAATTTTCATTGTGAGAAATTTTAATAGTACTTCTTAGCCTTGGCCACAAATAGACCAAAATAAAAAAGAGGGGCATAGAGAATTTGAATAATGTACTTAATAATCTAATTTAATTGACCACATACCAGGCTACCAAGAAAACTCAATAAATTCCCCAAATGAAAAACTGTGCAGGTCCCTTTTTCCGAATATAATAAAATAGAAGCTAATAACTATTAAAAATTCAATTAAAAACCATTCAGCCATTTGGAAATAAAAATGTAATTTCCTAAGTAAAGATTGAGTCAAATAGAAAAAGAAAAACTATCATTATAGACTATTTAGAAAATAATTGAAAATTAAAACTGTACTTCTTTTATTTTTTCTTGAGATGGAGTCTCACTCCCGTCGTGCAGACTGGAGTGCAATGGCGTGATCTCAGTTCACTGCAACCGCCACCTCCTGGGTTCAAGTGATTCTCCTGCCTCAACTTCCCAAGTAGCTGGGATTACAAGCACCCACCACCATGCTGAGCTAATTTTTGTATTTTTAGTAGAGACAGGGTTTCGCCACATTGGCCAGGCTGGTCTTGAACTCCTGACCTCAGGTGATCCACCTGCCTCGGCTTCCCAAAGTGCTGGGATTACAGGCGTCATCCACCATGCCAGGCCAGAACTGTACTTCTTAAAAGTAATTATGTGCAGTTGAAGCTACACTCAGAGTAAAATTCATGGCCTTGAGTGTTTTTATCATTTAATACAGAAGTAAATCAATTAAATATTCAGTGCAAGAAGTTAGAAGAAAAGATTAATAAAACAAACATAAAGCAGAATAAAGTAATAAAAATTAAAATATAAATGATCCTCTGGAAAACAGAAAGATTGTAATGTTGTTAAGTCCAAAAGCTATTTCTTTAAAGACAAAAGTTATATAAAATACAAAAACCTTAAGGGAAAGAGATATGGGAGTCTCATGTGGAGGAAACTAGACTATTACTGACATATATAAAAAAATAACATAAAAGGAGATACATACTATGTTCCTTGATGGGGAGACTAAGTATTATTAATATATCAGTTATTATATTAATATATATACTTAATACAAATTCAAGCAAACTCTTACGGGACTTTCATTTGGATTTAACAAAGTATATCAAAGTGAGACTTATCTCAAGAAAACCTTTTTTAAAAAGGATAATGAGGATGGCCTTGATAGGCAGGTTTAAAAACGAACAAAGCTACAATTATTAAAACAGTATGATATTGGTGAAATGTTGAACATGTCAATGTAATCAGATAAAAAGTTCAAGAGTAGATGCTAGTATAGGAACATAGTATGTGAGGCTGGGTGCAGTGGCTCATGCCTGTAATCCCAGCATTTTGGGAGGCTGAGGGTGGCGGATAGCTTGAGCTGAGGAGTTCAAGACCAGCCTGGGCAACATGGCAAAATCCCATCTCTACAAACACAAAAACAAAAACAAAATGATTATAGCTGGCAGGGGCTTAGGTGAGAGAATCGCTTGAGCCCAGGAAGTCGAGGCTGCAGTGAGCTGAGATCGCACCACTGCACTCCAGCCTGGGTGACAAGGTGAGACCGTATATATATATATATGTAGAGAGAGAGAGAGAGACCATATATATAGAGAGACCTATATATATATGACCATTTATATATAACTATATATAGTGTGTGTGTGTATATATATGTATATAGTTTGTGAAAAACATAGCATTCCAAATCTGTGGGAGAAAAGGCAATTATTCAAGAAATCAAACTTGGACATTTGTTTAAGTATTTGGAAAAAATACAGTCTCAACTCTAAAAATACAAACAATATGGATGGATGTCTGTCTGGTCATAGGCTGTAGAAAGGTTGCCTACGCATTTAGGGCGTGGAAGGAAGCACAGTGGAACAAAGGTGATTTGATTACATGAAAATATAAACCTTCTGTGGTCCAAACACTTCATAAACTAGAAAGCAGAGAAAGTGTTGTCTCCTCTCTGTATTTGACAAATGTTATCTTTTGTTTTTATTTCTTGGAAATAGAGTAGGAAAAAACCTACCTAATGAGGATGAAGATGTTTGCCATAAATATGTCAGACCAAGTATTTTAGGTATCGATAAATGGAAGTTCTTCTATTCTTAACAGAATTTGTCTATTAAATAATGTGAAACCAATATGGAAACAGGGAAATCTAATCAGTATAAATGGTAGTGAAGGTGTTAGGTCCTTTTTGTTTAGCTGGTTATCATCTCATTGGAGAGTATCTTAATCTTAATCAGGCAGGTTTTTTCCTGATCTGTTTCCAAGAAATGAGCAAAAGAAAATACTTAATGTAGGGAGCAAGGGCAACAGCATAGAGCTGAATCCTTTAAATAATAAAAAGTATGGGAAGGTAAAAATTGGTATGTGTCCAGTACCACTCCTGAGATTCCTACAAGATTTCCAGGAAGAGAGGAACGTGCTCTGGAGGTCTCTCAGGGAGAACTGGCATTAGCCCAGTCTGTGGCCACCAGTGCCTCTGAGAAATGCCCTAAATATTGGCTAGCCTGCTCCTGGGCCTCTCACCAGAACTGCTCCGAAGAAGTTTATTTTATTTTATTTTATTTTATTTTATTTTATTTTATTTTATTTTGTTTTGTTTTATTTTATTTTATCTTATTTTATTTATTTTTGAGATGAAGTCTTGCTCTGTCACCCAGGCTGGAGTGCAGTGGCGTGATCTTGGCTCACTGCAACCTCCGCCTCCTGGGTTCAAGCAATTCTCCCACCTCAGTCCCCTGAGTAACTGGCATTACAGGCATGCACCACCACGCCTGGCTAATTTTTATATTTTTTGGTAGAGGCAGGGTTTCACCATATTGGCCAGGCTGGTCTTGAACCCCTGACCTCAAGTGATCCGTCTGCCTCGGCCTCCCAAAGTGCTGGGATTACAGGTGTGAGTCACTGCGCCTGGCCCTGAAGAATTTTAAAAACATTGCAAAATGATCATATATGTCTTGCTTTAGCAAGGAGCCTCATTGTTGTCGTGGTAGATTCTTGGAGTCCTCAGATTACTTGAAATTGATTAGGAATGATAAAATCCACAGTTGCAACATTAATCACTGCTTCCCTAGAACGTAGAATTTTATGAAAATGTTCTGGTTTAAATTTGTAGATCTGTATTGTCTATATTCATTGTCTATAATACATTAATTATTTGTAATAATATTAATACCAGTATTTATTGTCTTATTTAATTTGCACCAAAAGGAAATGCTACGAGGAAGATACACTCATTATTCCCCTTTTACAGATGAGGATGCCATGGGCCTCACACGCCCATGGTCTCACATGCAGAAATCAGTGAAGTTGGGTTGCTTTCCAGGTAGACTCCGGAACCCACATTCCTTAGTGATATGCTGTTGTACCTCTGTAAACCCTGCTGCCTTTGTGAGTGACATTGTGTAGCCCAGGGCAGAGGGTATTGCCAAAAGATACAGGAATGTTTTCCAACGTGTCCCTTTTCAGTGCCCTTTTAAACATTAACTCTTAGTTCAGCGAAAAACATGCACAAAGAGATTTTATCAGCTGAGGTCTGCTGCTTTGTGATGAATTAATTTAGAATCCAGAGAGAGCTTAGAAGTTCTAGAATAATGAGTAGCTCATATCCTTTGAATTGTCTCTTTAAAATATGAGATGGCTGAAGTGGGTGTAAGTAGGTGGTTTATAATATGTTCTAGATGCCAAGATATTCATGGTAGCAGAGCTGATGTTCAGGTATAAAAGTACGGGAGCCACAGTGGGGCCTGTGTGTTGGGCATTTTCATGTCAGCATTTTTTTTTCCCAAAGCAGCCAGTTTCATGGTTGGGTGGTTCCAAATGTAAGAACGGCCCTTCTTCCCTGTGACTCCCACCAAGTAGCTCGGAGCAAGTCCACTTTGTATGAAATGGCAACGATTTGGAAGAGTGACCTTCTCTAGGCTAAACAACTGTGCCGTTGACCATTCCTCATAGATGGGTTTTCCTGAATTTTCACTTCTCTGAGAGCTTTCGGGACAAGAGTCCAATTTTATGGTGACCCTCCCAAATAGTGGCACCCAGAAAGGAACACAGTTCCACCAATGACCAACCAGTGCTGAGTACCATGGGGAGTGGACATGCACCAAGAACGCTAGTAAAGCCCAAGATTGGGTTAACATTTTCGCAGGCTCAATCACACTGTCGGCTTGGGTGAAACTGGTGACCAACTAAATACTGAGCTGGTTTTCCAAGGGATAGCTTCCAAGCCACGTCCCTTCAGTTCCATGCTTGTGCAATTGAATTGAATTCTGTGCAATTGATTTTTTGGATGCTCAACACCACACTTCACATTAATCCCTGTCATGTTGCTTTTGCCCAGTGTTCTGGCATGCTGAGATTTTACAGTCAGGGAATTGTGGGGCTGAAAGGCTTATTTGTACAGTTGACAGCTGTAGTCATTTTCCAATGACTTCCTGTCAGGGAACCTCCTCTTCCTAAGTCTACCCCAGTTCCTTCAGTTTCCTGCCAGTTGATTTTCTTGAGCATGATCCAGCTCTGGGCCTAATTCTTCCAGGATTTATCTCCCGAAGGTGAGAGACAACAGTGTTTTCTTCCTGCAGATTCCTTTTCTCTCTGCATCTCTCCTCTGTTCTGCCCCTGATTTTTTATTCCTTTGAGTCTTTGGGGGGTTGGTGGTTGTACCTGTTGCTTTGACCACTCACTTTATCTTGTTCCCTGCAGCTCTTGACAGCCCAGCTCCTTATACCCTCTTATATTTGTTTTTAGTGATTTCCTGGCCTTTGACCCATAGCTATCTCTGGTCCTTAAGTTTCTCATGCACCCTCTTTTAGATTCCCAGTTCCTTGACCTTGCCCCCCAAATTCTTGCTGCCTGATATCTGATGACACCTTGCAGCTCTGTCCTTCACAGGTTTGGCAAGTTCACTCTCTGGGGCTTCAACCAAGGCATTGCTAAATATCACTGTTGAGGATTGAGACTAAGTTACTTAGTTAGAAATCAGGACTATTTTGAGTATATATATCAACTAGTTTATGAATCCACCTAATGGCACTGCATCTGGCCTTTTCCACAGGGGGATTATAGGAGACCTTATCAAATGCTTTGCAAGAATGAAGGAATACTACTATATCCATAGAACCCTGGTCTACCAATATGGACTTCTCTCTTCAAAGGAAAAATGAACTTGATTGGCTCTGACTTGTTCTTGGTAACTCCATATTGGCTGTTAGTGATCACTGTCTAAAAGCTCTCTGACTATCTCTTATCTTGGATTTTGCCGAGAAAAAAAAAATATATATATATGTATGTGTGTGTGTGTATGTGTATATATGTGTGTGTGTGTGTGTGTGTGTGTGTGTATATATATATATTTTTTTTTTTTTTTTGAGATGTAGTCTTCCTCTGTCATCCAGGCTGGAGTACAGTGGTGCAATCTCGGCTCACTGCAACCTCCACCTCCTGGATTCAAGCAATTCTCCTGCTTCAGCCCCCCGAGTAGCTAGGACTAAAGGCATGCACCACCACGCTCGGCTAATTTTTGTATTTTTAATAGAGATGGGGTTTCGCCATGTTGGCCAGGCTAGTCTCAAACTCCTGGCTTCAGGTGATCTGCCTGCCTCAGCCTCCCAAAGCGCTGGGATTACAGGCAGGAGCCACTGCACGCAGCCTGATTTTGCCAAGAATTAACGACAAACTAATCAATATGTGTTTTCCTAAATCCTCCATGTTCATTTTCCGGAAAACTTGATATTTGACCATCTTTAGTCTCCTAACATTTCTTCCATTCTCTGTTCCGTGGATGATACCAACTGTTACATATTATAGGTCCACAAGCCCCCTAGATTCAAGAGGTATGGGAGTCTTCAGCTCATTCGAAGCAATCTGATAGTCTTATCACTAATTTTGGGTTGGAACTTTTTCTTTCTCTTATTCCTCCTATCCCTTCTGTTATTTCTACAGGTGTACTTCTTCTCTGCAAACATTATTATTTCCCTGCTTTTCTACTAATTTTTTTTGTTTTAAAGCAAATTATATATTTGAGATGTTGAGTCATAGTCATGAATCCTGTCATGCCAAGGTTCTAGTTACCCATGAGAATCACATTTATCTTTTTGCATTAAAATTTCAGGGCAACTTGTTCACTTCATGTACTTCATGGCTTCGGTCTGTTGGTGTTTGAGTCTATGAACACTGTTTCCAACAGTTTCCCTGATTGTTGTTATGTATCTCTTCTCCCATCTTCACAGAACGTGGCCCAGAGTTTCATCTTGGTACTTTTACACATGGAAACATTCTAGAGGCTGGTCTAAAGGACTGTCCACACCAAGGGAACATAGGCTGTTAGGCTGGAAAATAGTGTATCAGGATTTCATCCAGGAAGGTCACAGCCTGTTGGTCTAGAAGATCATGTAAGATGCTATTCAGCAAGTGTCACAAGTTGGCCTGATACAATCTAGTCCAAAGTCTTCACCATATACTCATACCAACCTGTGATGACTCTCTTTACTTCTTTGGGAAAAGAAGGTACCTTCCAAAAGATAAGAGCGAAGTGGAGCCAAGGGTAAGTCATAAGGGTCAGAGTTTCAGGGAACCCCGTCTAACTCCTATATTGTGTAGATGGGAAGACTCTGAAGGCCAGAGAGCGGCAAGGACTGGACCAAAGTCACACAGTTATTTTGTTGTGCTTTACACACGTACCTGGTTTTCTTTCATAAGAATTTGAGTTTGAGATAGTTCTCACAACTATTGAGCAGTAAAACATGAGTTGGAATTCAGATAGTCCCATTCACAGGCCAGAACTCTTTGTCTTCATCGTATCACAGCTATTTTGCTACCATGTTGAATGTCCAACTATTCTCAGGTACACGAGAACATTATCTGGCTTGGGATCCCTAGATTTTATGAAAATACCTATAATGGGATATCATCCTTTCCTGTGGGTTTAAATTGAATCTGCAACAGCTATCAAAGTTTCTGTTTTTAAGAAATGAGAAGATAGATATACCTGGCTTTTATGAAAGCACTGTTCCAAAATGCATCATGTTACTGTTTTTCAGGGAGTCCCTAAATCGTCCTTCCTGACCGAGGAGAAGAGAGCCAGACTGAAGACCAACCCCGTGAAGGTGCACTTTGCTGAAGAAGTGCTCATCAGTGGACACAGCCAGGTGTGTCACTAGTCAAGGGATTGAAATTATGAAGCTGGCGAGCTGCCTTCTGGCACATAACTCCCTGAACCTCTGGAATTCCACAGCACAGAGGGTGCAGAGGAAGTGCAGTGTGTTTGCAAGAGGCTTTGTGCGCCCTCCCAGTCAGATGCCTGCAGACCCTGGACTGGGATTGCTGGTGGGAGCTCTGGGCCATGGGTGGGGACTGGGAAGAAGAGCACTGGGTTTGGCCCTCTATTGTTCTGTGACTCCATTCTTCTGCCCATGAAATTTCGACAAATTCCAATAGTTAATTTCTCGTTATGCATCTTCAAATTTATTATCCTCTCTGAGGGTGATCTATTGATAATGGTGCCGGTGGTGATGGGATTGCTTTTTAGTTTTAAGAGTCCATCATCTATTGAACCTCTATTATGTGACCTAAACTTTGTGTGTACAGTCCTTAGACATCACAATACCCTGCAAGGGAGGTGTTTTAACAAAAGAGGAAGCAGAGGCCTAGAGAGATTAAGAGACTTAACCTCTAAGATCACATGGTGAGAAAATGCAGGAGCCCAGGTCCATGTGACTTTGGTTCTTTGGTTTTTCACTATGACGTGCTGTCTAGTCCTTTTTGATATGGAGGGACCCAGGGTTGGGGGTTCAGAAGACAAATTTGTAAAGGGAAAATGTTGGCTAGAGTTTGATTTTAATGTGGAGTGTTGGATAAAAGGCTCATTTATTCATAATTTATACATTTTCCCCCAGTAGTCTATAACTATTGCCATTCTGAATTTCTTAATATTAGACTTTGAAACTTCAAAGTTGAAACTTGTCCTTTTCTGGTCTTCTCACCATAGAGACCAGCAAAGGCCGGGGGAGTCACAGGGGGTGGGGGCTAAGGCCATTTTAACAAAGGATCCAGGTGACATGGTCCACATCTACAGAGCCCTTATTTTCTACCTGCCCTGCTACTTAATAGAGCACACCTTTAGATAGACTTGAGTGAGAAAGGTGGACTTGTTCAGGAAGGGGCCAGTGGGAGGCCTAATGCATGACTTAGAAAACACCTGTCAGTTGGCAATATTTGAGTCATGTTTGTGAAATTGGATTGAGTCTCTTTAGAAAATTAAGTTTAGATTCTGCTGGGCGCGGTGGCTCACGCCTGTAATCCCAGCATTTGGGGAGGCTGAGGCAGGCAGATCTCGAGGTCAAGAGATCAAGACCGGCCGGGGGCGGTGGCTCACGCCTGTAATCCCAGCACTCTGGGAGGCCGAGGCGGGCAGATCACAAGGTCAGAAGATCGAGACCATCCTGGCTAACATGGCGAAACCCCATCTCTATTAAAAAATACAAAAAATTAGCCGGGCGTGGTGGTGGGCACCTGTATGTAGTCCCAGCTACTTGGGAGGCTGAGGCAGGAGAATGGCGTGAACCCAGGAGGTGGAGCTTGCAGTGAGCCGAGATCGCGCCACTGCACTCGAGCCTGGGCGACAAAGCCAGACTCCATCTCAAAAAAAAAAGAGATCGAGACTATCCTGGCCAACGTGGTGAAACCACATCTCTACTAAAAATACAAAAATTAGCTGGGCATGGTTGTGCGTGCCTGTAATCCCAGCTACTTGGGAGGCTGAGGCAGGAGAATCACTTGAACCCGGGAGGCGGAGGTTGCAGTGAGCCGAGATTGCGCCACTGCGCTTCAGCCTGGCGACAGAGTGAGACTTCGTCTCAAAAAAAAATTAAGTTTCGATTCAACACATGACTCTTCATTTCAAGAGTCATGCACAGTGATGAGTAGTGAGGGTGAGAACCAGCTAGCAGGACAGGGACAGAATAAAGGCACGACAGGTGTGGACAGGGTCACCTGGTTGATTTGTAAAAATGGCCATGACCTCCCATTCACTGCTGTCTATGCTGAGGGGACCAGATAAGAACAACTTTCACCTGAACTGGCTACAGAACTGGCTCAGAGTTTTGGTTGGGGAGTTTAAAGGAACAGGGTTCTAAAAAGGTGTCTCCAGGAAGACTTGGAAGGTTGGGGCACCTCGGGGAATCTTTGGGAGTCTGCATCAGCCACATAAGGCAGAGATAGCAAAACAAGTAAGAGTTCATCCCTGTGACCTGTCTATTCATCCTTTCAAGTGTTTCAAAGATGATAAAATTGGCTGTTAAACTTTTCCCCTTGGAACATGATAAGACTGCCTTAGATACACAATCACTGTATTAAGAAGGATCTGAGATAGTAAACCAACATTTGAAATATGTTTGACTTTGCTCACAGTTAAACAAATACAAAGAAAAAATATTAAAAAGTAAAACTTTATACTTAGCAAATGAGCACAAATAGAGAAAAAATGTAAGCCCTGATGCTGAGAAAGTAATTATAGTCATGCACTACTGATGGCTTTATAAATTGGCTTAAACTTTTTTGAGTGGAAAAAAAACAAAATTTAATGACTGCTATAAAAAATGACCCAGAGATTGCATTCCTGTTAGTCTATACAATAATTTAAATGTGAAAATCCATATATTTAAAGATATCTATAGTATCAACATTTTAAATAGCTCCCAAAATGGAAAAACATGCTCAATTGTCTAGGGCAGAGGAATTGTGAAATCAGTTCTGATATTTCAACTCAATAGAATATTATAAATCCATTAAAATTATGAACATTAAGCCCACCTAAAAATTGTATATGAAATGCATATTGGGTAGAAAATAAACATAGAGTCATGCATATTAAATTATTGCAGCTCTCTAAAAACTATTTACAGATATAGATAAAAATTGGAAAAAGCCTTAGGGAAAAGTAAGTGGTGGTAGTTATGTAATGTTGCTATGAATATATTCTTTGTAAACCTTTTAAATCACAAAGAAAGTACTAAGGAAAAAATTTCCCACTGGGAAACCCCAAAATTAAGATTTGTAAACACTCAGAGCCAGAGAAGTAAGATGGCAGCAGAGTAAGCGGTCTGAAATCCCTCATCCTGATGTAGTGTGAAATGGCACTGGAATATGAACATCTTCCTTTTTCCTCCATAAAAATACTGTGGTTTTTTAAAATAAGTTATAGACCCAGGAGACAGAGGCTGCAGTGAACCGAGACTGTGCCACTGCACTCCAGCCTGAGCAACAGGGTGAGACTCTGTCAAAAAAAAAAAAAGAGAGAGATGATTGTGAGTCTTGCTTAGAAGATACAAACACCTTTATATTTAGAAGATTCAATATTCTCATCTGAAAAAACTGGAAGTTGTTTGTTTGTTTGTTTAAGATGGAGTTTTGCTCCTGTCGCCCTGGCTGGAGTGCAGTGGTGTGATCTCGGCTCACTGCAACCTCCGCCTTCCAGGTTCAAGCAATTCTTCTGTCTCAGCCTCCAGTGTAGCTGGGACTATGGGTGTGTGCCACCACGCCCGGCTAATTTTTGCATTTTTAGTAGAGACAAGGTTTCACCATGTGTAGGCTTTATACCCAAACTCTTTATAGAGATGAGTGCAGGGGGGCAATTCTAGCTCAAATCTTGGGAACTCTAAAATTTCTCTGTGCTTCTGGAGGACACCAGCCCCACGGGCCCTTTGTATTTGCAACCAAACACTCAGAATCACTTCTTTTTTTTTTCTTTTTTTCTTTTATTATTATTATACTTTAAGTTTTAGGGTACATGTGCACAATGTGCAGGTTAGTTACATATGTATACATGTGCCATGCTGGTGTGCTGCACCTATTAACTCGTCATTTAGCATTAGGTATATTCTTACGAGAGCTGGGAGATTCTCCAAAACCCTCTCCTGCTCCATCCCAGGAGTTCTAGCTGGCATGGGGCCACCCAACACAGACCAGTCCTGTGCCTTTTCCCCAAATAGCCCTACGAGAGTGGCAGAGTCCCTTAGGGGACCTCATGCATCTAGGGTGATAATTGGGGTGAATGTAGTGGAGAGCATCCCTCTGCCCTTTGGTGATATTTCATTACAGGGAATGCAGCAATAAAATGAGGGTAGGAGAGGCTTCCCTACCCTCTCCATCCCACCCCAATCCTACAAGGTAGAGTCTAAGAATCTCTGAAAGGCCCATGTTGAACAGTGTGCATGCTGGTCATCTGGCTTGCCAAATTGCCTCCCATAAGGGTACAGCCAGCAGTAAAACGTGAGCTGATGGTCATGAGACATTGCACAGGCTCGCGCAGTGCTATCAGTACGCTCGTAGAAGGGCTCACTCTTCTCCACCGTTTGTCGTATCTAACAGTCCTCATGGGTATCCCTTGACAAAGCATGCCTGTGCATTGAAGAAATTCCCAAGTGCCAAGAAAGAACCCCTGACATGGTGAGGAGGTTAGGGAGGATCCTACTCTCCAAACCAGGCAGGTCCAGACAGCCAAGGATTTGTCATACCCAGGGGCAGGAAAGCTGTGACTGGGATACAACAGGCCAGGCATGGTGGCTCACGCCTATAATCCTAGTATTTTGGGAGGCCAAGTCAGGCGGATCACTTGAGGCCAGGGGTTCGAGACCAGCTGGCCAACATGGTGAAACCCTGTCTCTACTAAAAATACAAAAATTAGGCTGGGCACAGTGGCTTAGGCCTGTAATCCCAGCACTTTGGGAGGCTGAGGCGGGTGGATCACCTGAGGTCAGGAGTTCAAGACCAGCCTGGCCAACATGGTGAAACCCCATCTCTACTAAAAAAAAAATACAAAAATTAGCTGGGCATGGTGGTGTGTGCCTGTAGTCTCAGCTACTCGGGAGGCTGAGACAGGAGAATTTGCTTGAACCCAGGAGGTGGAAGTTGCAGTGAGCCAAGATTGCACCACTGCACTCCAGCCTGGGTGACAGAGTGAGACTCTGTCAAAAAAAATAAAAAAAATAAAAAAAAATAAAAGCCAGTCGTGGTGGCAGGTGCCTGTAATCCCAGCTATTTGGCAGGCTGAGGTGGGAGAGTCGCTTGAACCTGGGAGTCAGAGGTTGAGTGAGCCGAGATCGTACCACTGTTCTCCAGCCTGGGTGACAGAGAGAGACCCTGTCTCCAGAAGGAATAAAAAAAGACAGGGATACAACAATACTCTTGTGTTTTCCAGGGTAATTCTCTGCTGTGTATGCCCAACGTGCTCAAGCTATACTTGGAGAATGGACAGACCAAAGCTTTCAAGTTTGAGGCAAACACAACCGTGAAGGTATTAAGAATAAACTTGAACTTCTTTTCCCAAGAAGAATGTTCTGGCTGCTAGGACCCCCCAGGCATCTTGCCCTGCATCTGCCTTGGTGGTCTCACAAACACCGTGGTCTGAGCCCCTGTAATAATAAGCCAGGTGCCATGTTATCTCATTTCGTTGCACGACCACCCAGAAAGATGGTCTTTTTACCACCATCGTAACTGGGTGGGGGTTAAGGGGTGGGAATCGGGACTTAGAGAGATGAAGTGACTTGCCCAAAGGTCAGATTAGAACTCCTAAGCCTTCACCCATAACCACCAGGCTTCCCTGCCATTTGTCTGTGACTCTACCTGCTACGCCAAACACTACGAAAACCCAGGTGAGATGTCAGGAAAGGCCCAGGCGCTGCCTATTCTGTTCTTGGTTAAAGTCAATTGAACTTATACTTCACAAGTTTCCCCATATGAGATGATCTGAGAGGGGTTACTGAGCTTAGTCAGGGGTGGTCTCGATCTTCAGGAGCTTGCAGTCTAGTTGAGGGACGGTGGACGTTCAGGGAATGCTTGATTGTCCAAGGCAGGATGAAATAAGGGCCAAGTGCAAGGGGAAGAGTACCATCTCTTCCAGCCTGTCCAGACTTCAGACAAGGCATGGGAAAGAAGCTGGACCTGCGCTGAGCTTTGGAGGATAACTAAGATTTCAACAAGGGCCAGTAGGGACAGGGCAGTTGAGGGTAGGGTACATATCAATCAGAGAGTCACGTGAACTAATGCAGAGAGCCAGAAAAATGGCAATTGCCCAGGAAATAGCAAACCATCCAGCAGGACTGGGGCACAGGCTGTTTTCTTGTGGAAGGAGTGGCTGTGGAGGGCCTCAAATGCCAGGCAACAATAGAGCTTGAGTTTTATCCATAGATAATATCGTATGGTGCTAGCAGTTCTTGAACAAGGGAGTAAATAGTGTTAGAGTGAGGCCGCAGTGAAGAAGCAAAGTTGTTCAAACAGTAAAAACCATGTAAGAGGAAACATTGAGCCCAGCTCTTCTGGTACAAGGGGAGAGCAGGTTCAGGAGGGCCAATGCAGCTATAGGGGACAAACAGTAGCCAAGACACACATGCACACACACATCTGCACAGTACATTCACACACATGCATATGCATGCACACATATGTACAATGTACATACACCTGTACGCACACATCCAGTGCTTCTCTCTGGCACCTTCATTTGGCAATTCCTACAGCTGCTCCAAATGCTCTATTCTATTTCTTCCTAAATGTGAGTTAGAAGAAGCTGGAGAAGGGCTTTCTGAACCTGGGGAACTCCAAGCCCAGAGGAGGAAGCAATGGAGGAATAGACTTTAAGTGTTTACTACATGCCAGGCACGCTTCCTGGGCACTTTCTTGTATACGATCTCATTTAATGCCCTAGCAACCTTGTGAAGTAACTAGTGTTATCCCCACTTTGCAGAAGAGAAAACAGGCCCAAGAGGCCCAAAAGCTGTCAAGATCAGCTAGCTCATAACTGGCTTTGAACTTGGTCTGTTTTTGAATCCTGTGCTGGAATCTTGTCACTCTGCCATTCTGCAGAAAAGGGAAGCTTTGCAAATGGATTAGACAAGAGTTCTACTTTCATCATCTTTGCTCAAAGTGGATTGGAATAGAAGGGTTGATTTTTTTTAAAGCAAGTCCCCCTTTGGTGGCCAAAAGGACTTTGAGGTAGTTTACAATAAAGGCCCACATTACAGGGGAATTAAACTTAAGATGACAGAGAGAGTTGGGGAAATGAACAAGGACTTAGCCAGTATAATACTGGTTAATCTTATTTATCTGTAATAGCCAAATTTTTTAAAGCAAAGTCTTTAGCTGTTTACGACACAGAGAAAGGTGGACATAAATAAATCTTATGAGTGAAAAAAGGAAAAATTACTGTCCACTCATCAGTGACTTCTCTTCCCCTTTCCCTCACTAAGGGAAGAAAAGTTCTTGTATTAGAAAACCCTCTTTCTCTAAACCAAGAAAAAGAATATGTCATTTGACCCAGTAAACATTTATTGACACTTTTTGTGTGCCAGGCATTTCTATATCACCAACAACTTGGCAATAAATTACCCAGGGGCCGGGTGCAGTGGCTCATGCCTGTAATCCCAGCAGTTTAGGAGGCCGAAGTGGGTGGATCAACTGAGGTCAGGAGTTTGAGACCAGCCTGGCCAACATGGTAAAACCCTGTCTCTACTAATAATACAAAAATTAGCCAGGCATGGTGGTGCAAGCCTGTAGTCCCAGCTACTTGGGAGGCTGAGGCAGGAGAATTGCTTGAACCTGGGAGGCAGAGGTTGCAGTGAGCCGAGACCATGCCACTGCACTCCAGCCTGGGCGATGAGAGCGAAACTCCATCTCAAAAAAATAAATATAAATAAATAAATAAATAAATTACCCAGGGTTATACTCTTAGGAAGCCTGAAGTCTTGGGGTGGGGCTAGGGTGAGGAGATGAGATCTGGGGACAACTCACAATGAAACGAGGTACCGGTGTGCTTAAGACCATGAAAGCGGGACAGAAGCCGTGTGGTACAGGCTCAGGGGAGAGCAAGCTTCCAGCTGGGTGCCAAATAAAGGCCTCTGGGGGAGTGGAGTGGTAGCATGTATGGTGGACTTAGAAAGATAGATTGGCTTTTGACTGGAGTGGGCCAAGAGTGATGTGTGAAGGCAACATCCGGGCACGGCGAACAACACCAACAAAGATCCAGAAATGGGCAAGTTTGACAAGTGTGTGGGGCTTGTGGGCAGAGTGCATTGGGATAAGCAGCAGAAGATAAAGTGGGAGAAGTGGGTTGGCACCTGATACCTTGAGAGTCTTGAATATTAAGCTAAGGAGTTTGGATTTTGGCCAGTGAGCCATCAAGAGCCACTGAACGTTCTTGAGCAAGGGAGAGCATGCCCAGTACAAGGCTTAGACAAATTCCTCTAGATCAAGAGTCAGCAAACCTTCTGTAAAGGGCCACATAGTGAGTATTTTAGGTTTTGCAGGCCACAGGGTCTCTGTCATAGTTATTCAACTCTGCCATTGTAGCAAATGCGCATGGCTATATTCCCATAAAACCTTAATTACAAAAACAGGCAGTGGGCTGGATTTGCTCCACAGGCTACAGTTTGCCAACCTTTGCTCTATGTGCAAGTTGGAGAACAGATGGGTGGCAGGAGGGTTCACAGGACATCCCTCTACAAAGCCAAGAAATGCATGAGCCCAAGCTGAGGTAGACATGGGAGAATGGAGAAGAAGGGACAGAGTCAAGAGACAGGCTTTCCATTGGGGCCAGCACAATGCCAGGCACACAGGCAGCACTCAGTTAATGGTGTGGAGCTGCAGAAGCAAATGGACCCTTCAGGACTAGTCACTGGGTAGTTATGGGGGGTGATGAACAAGTGGAGAGAGGGCTCCGAATCAGGAGTCATGAGGAGGGAGGAAATGGACCCTTCAGGACTAGTCACTGGGTAGTTATGGGGGGTGATGAACAAGTGGAGAGAGGGCTCCGAATCAGGAGTCATGAGGAGGGAGGAGCACCTGATGGTGCGAGACTTACTGCGTTTGAGGTTCTGGCAGGACATTTATGATTTCTGTTTACTCACCAAGTGAAAGTTTGTGTGCATCTATTATGTGCCAAGCACTGGATATACTGCATAACAGAGCACAGCACAGGCAAGGCCCACATCCTCAGAGAGTTTAACATCTAGTGGGGTGAAAGACAATAAGCAAGAAAACAGAGATTAGCAGTTGGCATGCATTGAATACTTACCATCTGCCAGGTGCTGTTCTAAGTGCCTTCTATGGGGAAATCAATTCAATGTACACAACAACTCTATGAGATAGGTGTTAATATTATTCCCATTCTACAGATGAAAACACTGAGGCATAGAGAGAAGAAGCAATTACAGCTAGGAATTGGGAATGGAGGTCTAGAACCCATTCCCTTAACTTTACCATGGCTGTTAATTGAAGAAAATAATATTAAATAATGGTGAGGGAAATAAACAGGACACTGGGACAGAGAGTAACAGGGATGATTATGTATGCTGGCCAGAGAAAGCCTCTCTAAGAGGTGACATTTGGACTGAAACTCGAAGGAAGAGAAAGAAACAGACCTGGAAAGAGTAATGGGGAAAGTATACTGGGCAGAGGGAACAGCATGTGCGAATGCTTCGAGGCAGCAAAGACCTCACAGAGGGCTGCTCTAGTGAGCAAGAAGAGTGTGGCGTGGCAACCAGGATGCCTCAGCGCAGCATTCACAACCATTCCGTCCTGTCAGCCACTCTCAGAATTACGCATTATTGTCCTCTATTTGGAGAGGAAGTGACTGGGGTTCAAAAGTGTCCCTCAGTTGTGGCTGGACGTGGTGGCTCATTCCTGTAATCCCAGCACTTTGGGAGGCTGAGACTGGCAGATCACCTGAGGTCGGGAGTTCGAGACCAGTATGACCAACATGGTGAAACTCCATCTCTACTAAAAATACAAAAATTAGCTGGGCGTGGTGGCGCACACCTGTAATCCCAGCTACTTGGGAGGCTGAGACATGAGAATTGCTTGAACCCAGGTGGCGGCGGTTGCAGTGAGCTGAGATCACAGCATTGCACTCCAGCCTGGGCGACAGAGCGAGATTCCGTCTCAAAAAAAAAAAAAAAAAGTTTCACTCAGTTGCATAGTGAGTGGGTGGTGGGATTCTGTCTAGTAAGCAGTCAAAGATACAGACTGGGAGCCTGGCCAACGTGGCAAAACCCCGTCTGTACTAAAAATACAAAAAAACTAGCTGTGTGTGGTGGCAAACGCCTATAATTCCAGCTCTTTTGGAGGCCAAGGCAGGCAGATCACTTGAGGTCAGGAGTTCAAGACCAGCCTGGCCAACATTCCAAAACCCCATCTCTACTAAAAATACAAAAATTAGCCAGGCATGGTGGCATGTGCCTATAATCCCAGCTACTCGAGAGGCTGAAGCAGGAGAATTGCTTGAACCCAGGAGGCAAGGGTTGTAGTGAGCCAAGATCACGCCACTGCACTCCAGCCTGGGTGACAGCCTGGGAGACCCTCTCAAAAAAAAAAAAAAAAAAAAAAAAAAAGATAGAGACTGGGAACTCTAGAGAGAGAATAAGTCTAGGGACATAGGAGAGAGGCAGAAACCTCCACTGGATGGCTTCAGCCTTCCAAGTAAAGCAAGACAGGGTGGCTGTATGGATGGTGATGGAGCTTGAGGAGAGGGGAGCTGTGGCTGCAGGGCCGTAAGGGGCCTGATGAGTGGGACCAGACTCTGGCGTAAGTCAGCAGTGGGCATGTCAGTGCAGGCTTTTCTCTCCCTAGCTGCACTGAGGAATGGCAGGAAGGCCAGGGAAGTCCTTCCTGTTTCTTGCGTAACTCCTGCACCTCTCTGTGCCTGCTAGGACATCATCCTCACCGTGAAGGAGAAGCTGTCCATCCGAAGTATCGAGTACTTTGCACTGGCCCTGGAAGAGCAGTACAGCATCTCCCGGCTGCACCTGCTGCACGAAGAGGAACTCATCCAGCAGGTAGGGAGGACTGACCGCCTGTTCCTGGGAGGCATGGGCTGGGCTGGCTGCATACCTCAGCCAGAACCTCTGGGGACAGGGCTCAGCACATCTGCAGGTTTGATGCACTTTCTCTTGCCCCAGAAGGCACAGAGCTCACTCAGCCTGGGGGTTATGGGACAAGAATCAGCCTGATTTTCATCTGCTAGTATGAGGTAGGCAGGACACAGATTTAAGGTCCCCATTTTGCAGATGTGGAGACAAAGGCTTAGAGAGGTAAGGTGACTTTCTCAAGGTAACACAGCTGATAGAACCCTGATCTTTTGCTTCTAGCTCTGATGATCTTCCCTTGCACCTGCTGCCTTTGAGCCATTAGGGAAGCATTTGTTGCTGTGTCTAAGCCCTTCTTGTGGGACTTACCCCCGATATGGTTCCTGATGGCAGAATAGGGTAAACACAGCCAAACGGTCTATATCACTCAATCTCCCAACCATTCAATAATATGTTGTACCAACTTTTTAAAGCTAAACACAGGTTAGTTCAACAAATCTTTGTGAGTCTGTTACAAAGATGAGGAGGATTTTAACAGTTGGAAATGAGTAATACATAACCTCATAAAAGCCACCCTGAACATTCCTCTTTGCAGATGAATTCTTACCCAATGCACTCACCGATTAGAAGGTTTACTGCTTGCAGACTTTTTAATTACTTCTATTCCATTTGCATTGGGAAAGAAAATCACATTAAATCCCTAAGATAGTTTAAGTGAAATAAAGTAAGTTGTAGAATGGTATGTATACTATATTATTATTTGTGGAAGATAAAAGAATAGACTTATACTGAAGCATGAATATACATAAACTGTCTCTGGAAGGGGCACACAAGAAACTGAAAACAGGAGTTTCCTCTGGAAAGGGAAACTGGAAGATAGGTGAGTGGGAAATGCTGCCCTTTTGAACCTTTTACATTTTGTACCCAGGAAAAAGAAAGTCAAATTAGGAGTAAAGGTCTATGGCTGTCTTGGGAAGCACTAGAATTGAAATCTCTGGGAACTGTCTTTCACTGTCTGTGTTTTATAGAGTGGTTTTGTGGAATGACTGCAAGGACAAAGGCAGTTAGGAGATTAATAGTATCTCCCTTACCCATCGCAGGTGGTAGAAAGGGAGGAGTCACATGACTACCGCTGCCTCTTCAGGGTCTGTTTTGTTCCCAAGGACCCCCTGGACCTCCTGAAAGAAGACCCCGTGGCCTTTGAATACCTCTATCTGCAGGTGACTGGGTCTGTGCTTCCTAAAATAACAGTGGTTGTTCTCAAAGATGGTGCACTGGGTGATTTTGAACGTGAGCTCGAGGCCATTAAACAACTCCCTGGTAGGGATTCTCTTTATCTGAAGGAGAATGGGCCTGATCATCGCTCAGAATTCCCTTTTCCATCACTGAGTTGCTGTTTTAGCAGGTGTGCGATATCAGAATGAAATTCAGGCTCAGTCCTCAATGTAGATGATACATTTTCTAATACCATTTTAGGATCTTTAGAATTACAGTTTTTATTGCCAAAAGGGGCCTTAGTGCTTTAAAACCTCGTTTTAGAATGATGACACTGAGTCTTGGAAAGGTCGTGTGATTTGCCTGGGTCACTCACTTAGTGGCAGAGCCAAAACCTGGTTCTTGATCCGTGGCCTGGTGCTCCCCCTATTCTACCTCCTTAGATGAGAGTTATGATGCCATTTTTATTCTGATGAAAAATAATCATTTGGAGCCGGGTGCGGTAGCTCACGCCTGTAATGTCAGCATTTTAGGAGGCCGAGGCAGGTGGACCACTTGAGGTCAGGAGTTTGAGAACAGCTTGGCCAACATGGTGAAACCCCGTCTCTACCAAAAATACAAAAAATTAGCCAGCCGTGGTGGCACACACCTACAGTTCCAGCTGCTTGAGAGGCTGTGGCAGGAGAATCACTTGAACCTTGGAGGTGGTGTTTGCATTGAGCCAAGATCATGCCACTGCACTCCAGCCTGGGTGACAGAGCGGGATTCTGTCTCCAGAAAAGAAAAAAAAAAAGAAAAAGAATCATTTGGCAGATATCACCATTTTACAGATGAGATAACTCAGACTAGGTGGATTGGACTGCCCCAAGTCTTACAGAAATGGTGGCAGAAAATAATAATAATAGCAATAACAACGCCATCAATACTTTATATTTGTATAACACTGTGTGCCTTATACCTGCTTTCATATGCATTATCTAATTTAAGTCTCACAGAAACCACATAAGGTAGATTTTACTATCCTCATTTACCAGACACCAAATGCTTGGAGAGTCTTGGTAACTTAACCAAGGTCACACAGCCAAGAACTGTCAGAGCCAGCTCTCAAAGCGGAGCTCCTGGTCCTGCTGCCTTTCACCCGAGAGAACGAGGGGACACAGTATGTCTGCTTTTGTTTCCCATCTGCTCTATTTAATCTCTTCTAGAGCTGCAGCGATGTGCTCCAGGAGCGCTTTGCTGTAGAAATGAAATGTAGCTCTGCACTCCGACTCGCGGCTCTGCACATCCAGGAACGGATCTACGCCTGTGCCCAGCCACAGAAGATCTCTTTAAAGTATATAGAGTGAGTGGCAGGGGATGGCAGCTGCATTGCATTTATAACTTGCTGGCCCCTGGCCAGGAGGGCCAGATGCCACAGAAAGCTGATAGTCACCCACCTACCCATCTGTCTGTTGTCTTTCCATCCATTTCCCTCTGCACCCTCTCTAATCTGACCTGGCTCCCCCAGATGTCTGAACCTGGCTGCTCTCTCTGGGACAGAAGCCAACTCCAGATGGAATGTCACAGGATTCCCTTGTAAATTGCCTGTTCCTGGGAAGATGTCTTGGGAAATCAGTTGCCAGCATCAGTGTTAAGCTTTTCTAGGGGTGGGAATGCCTTGGAAGTTAATTTTTCCCGTGGATATGAACCAGTTCCTATTGCATTATGTCTCCACTAGAGCAGTTTCAAGTCCTACGATTCCAGCACCTTCTGATTCTTAGCTTAGAATTGTTCTGGACAGCATCACTCAGGTTTGCTAAGCCCCTCCCCAGATCTCAGCTCTGTCCTGCCTGAGCATCAGAATCAGATGGGGAATCATATTTTTAAAAATACAGCATATCCTTGGCCCTACCCCTGATGTACTAAGTCCAATCTCTCGCAGCAGGGCCTGAGAATCTGTAGTTTTAGCAATTTTCTGGGGGATTTTGAAGCTGCTAGGCTGGCACCATGCTGAAGCTTAGCCTAGGGGATTCACAGGAGCTCTGCGTTGCCCCATGAGAGTGTCTTGTACTCTCTTGTATGCTGTCATTATTTGCCATGTATTTTGTAGTGAAAAAGATTCAGAACTCCTGCTCTGACTGATAGATGGTCACACCACACCAAGAGTAATGAGCTCCCAGAATGATCAATGGGGTTTAGTTCCTGAATGCCTGTGGGGATTTTTGTGGAGAGTGTGTGTATGTGTGTGTGAGAAAGAAAAAGAGAGGAGGAGAAAGTGGCTCGTAATTGCTGTATTATGGGAACACTAAGTACTGAATCAAATGTAATTATGCTCTTCATTAGAGCCAAGTACCCTGTAGAAATGGGCCTCCTTGTCTCCAATGTCTCATGGCAGGAAAGACTGGGGAATAGAGAACTTTATATCTCCAACTTTACTCCGAAACATGAAAGGCAAAGACATCAAGAAAGCCATTAGCTTCCACATGAAGAGGAACCAGAATTTGCTGGAACCCCGACAGAAGGTAATGAAGGTGCCTCTGCCGACCCACTCAGCTGTCGTCTGTGAAACCTTAGGAAAAACATTTTCAACACTGCCTGGATTTTAGACCAATGAATAACTCTGACTTCAAGTGTTTTTTTTTCTCTATTAAGCAACTTATTTCTGCTGCCCAGCTACGTTTAAATTATCTACAGATCCTCGGAGAACTCAAGACATATGGTGGAAGAATCTTTAATGCTACTTTAATGGTATGTATTAGAGAACTGTGAAATCCTACTCACGTAAGGGACCTTAGAGATCCTCTGAAAATCAATGTGTCTTTTAGCCTAAAATTCCTGAGGACTCTGTCATGTACTAGAATTTGTCTGGTAAACTAAATAGTACACCACTGGAAAATATTTACCACGCGTTTGCTTGGTGCTACCCCTGTGATAGATGCTAGGGGAAGCAGGGCTGAATAAGATGTGATTTCCGTCCTTGAAGGATGAAACAAGCTACCCAACAAAATGAAGCAAAGCCATGAGACAGGTTCAGGCCTATTGCTGTGGAGTTTGGAGACAGAAGGTAGCACTGCTTGCTTCAGGGTAAGTATAGGGAGGAGAAGGGGTTAAGGAAAGAGGCAAGAGGAAGCCTGAATTTGGCCAGACTTCAGTAGAGAGGAAAAGGCATTCTGGGTCAGAAGGGGATGGTAAGCAGTTCACTCTGGAGCTTTGGGTATATGAAGGTGAAGAGGAAAATTGGAAATCATGAAAGAAAAATAAGAGTGTTTGACTGCCAAGCTGAGTCTCTGATTGTTCAGAAGGGAGGAATGAGGGGTGGGCCTGAGAAGAGAAACGAGAAGCAGAAAAGCCCTCTGCTCTCTTCCCATTCTCCTGCCTGCTTCTTTTTGGAGCCTAGGCCTAGAGCTTGTGCCTTTCAGCAGTCAGTGTCTCGGGGGTATGGTTTCAGAGAGCTTTCCTCCAGCACTGTCAGCCCCAGGACTCTGCAGCACAAAACCAATTTACAATTAGAGTGGGGTTTTAAAAAAATATTAACCAAAATCCTTTCAAAAGATTTGGTATGCATCTCAGTCATTTACAGTGATGGGCCAATGTAATCAGACTGCTAACCTAACAATGTAGATGGAAGAAGAGAATCAGTGTTTTGAAAGAAAGGAAGAGCATCAGATAGTTAGGGGAAGGGGAAACACAGATGGATTCTTCGTTTAAGTAGAAGACCCAAAAGGTGGGAAAGAGACTAGATCACAGAAAGGAAAGTTTTGAAGGTACAAGAAAAACTTCCCAATTTTTCTAAGGGCTAATTCTACCCTCTCCCAGCTGTCCAGTTCCAGTCCCCAGTCTCCCTTTACCTTTCTTGTCTAAGGAAAGAACTGGTAGTGGGAGAAGCAACCAGCTACATGGAACAGGTTCAGGGTGCTTGCTGGGCACTGCGGGTTACAAATAGAGATAAATGCAGACTCTGTTGTCAAGAAACTTAATGTGGAAAATGAGACTTAATACAAATAATTAAAATAAGAAGTCATAAGTGTTCAGTGCTAGTAGAGAAGTAAGAGGAAGTGGTACAGAACAACAGAGAGGAAAGGGAGATTTCTGGCTTAAGGAGGCTGAGATCAGGCAGATGCTTTCCATAGGCAGTAGGTTTTGATGTAAGCTTTTAAAGAAGGATCAGGATTTAAATGGGAAATGATGGCAGGGAAGGGATTCAAAGAGCAGGAAGATAGGTACATAGGTGTGAAAATACAGATGTGTTTATGGCTGTGGCTCAGGGCTATATTGGAAAGAGTTTTGGGGAAATAAATTTACACTTTGATTTAGCTGTTGATGGGGTCCAAGTTAGGCAATAGTCTGGAGGAGTGGTGGTTAGGATCCAAAGTAGGAATCAAGGAGTTTGCAGCGAGAGGTATTATTGCTTACATGTGAAATGTATTTTCACTCGCTTGCGAATGGAGACTAATTCCCCTTCCACCCTCTGCAGTTACAGGATAGAGAATCCTACATTGCCCTTCTAGTTGGAGCCAAGTATGGGATTAGCCAGGTTATCAATAGCAAACTCAACATCATGTCCACATTGGCAGAGTTTGCAAACATCAGCCGTGTAGAGCTAACGGAAGAGTCTGAGAAAGTGAGCGTCGTCAAAGTGTATCTTCAGGACGTCAAGGTAACACAATGGGGAGAGATTCTGAATTCAACTGCTGGAATTTGGGGCCAAATAGGGGCCAGGCTAGTTTATATGAATTTTAAATAATAATAAAGTCTAATGTCCAATATCTGCTTAAGAGGACGAATTGTCCATCCTGTTCTATCAAACGGAAAGTGGTAAATGGTAAATTTTCCTGAAGAGGTCCTAAAAGGTTTTTTTGCACAAACTGAGATGGACCATGTGCTTTCCTGTTGGATTTAGAAACGTAGATGGAGAACACCAGAGGATTTTTTTTTTTTTTTGAGACAGAGTCTCACTCTGTTGCCCAGGCTGGAGGGCAGTGACACGATCTTGGCTCACTGCAAGCTCCGCCTCGTGGGTTCACACCATTCTTCTGCCTCAGCCTCCCAAGTAGCTGGGACTACAGGCGCCCACCACCATGCCCGGCTAATGTTTTGTATTTTTTCGTAGAGATGGGGTTTCACTGTGTTAGCCAGGATGGTCTCGATCTCCTGACCTCGTGATCCACCCGCCTTGGCCTCCCAAAGTGCTGGGATTACAGGCGTGAGCCACCGCGCCCGGCCCACCAGAGGATTTTATCACATGAATGGGACCAGATTGCTGCTCAAAAGCTTTGAGTGGTGGGCATTAAAATGGGTAAATAGTGGGCCCGGTGTGGTGGCTCACGCTTGTAATCCCAGCTACTTGGGAGGCTGAGGCAGGAGAATCACTTAAACCCAGGAGGCAGAGGTTGCAGTGAGCAAAAGATTGCACCATTGCACTCCAGCCTGGTGACAAGAGCAAAACTCTGTCTCAAAAAAAAAAAAAAAAAAGGTAACTAGTGCAGGGTACCTCCTGAGCCTCTCTCAAAGGTCTTACTTTTATTCTGCCCTCCTTTGATTTAATCCCAACATACTCAATATTGGTGCTTTATTCTTATCACCCTCTCCCTCATTCTCCACATGTTCTTGCTCCTTTTTCTTTTTTAAGTTCAGTCTTGCAAGTCCCTCTGCAGGAATGAACAGGGTGGGATGGGGCAGTTTGGATATGGCGCTGGGGTAGAGGATGAGGAGTCAGAAGACACTGTATAGATTGGGTGGGAAGGACCCACTGTGTGTGAGTGAGTGTGTGAGTGCGTGAGAGTGTGTGTGTGTGTGTGTGTATGTGTGCGCACACACACACGCGATGGTGTCTGTACGAGTACATGCATGTCCTCATTTAAAGCCTTGCAAGTGAGGATATGGGGCACCAGGAGACCTACCTGTGGACCATGGCCGGATTTACCTGGAATCTCTCGTTGGTCCCACATGGCTTTGTTGTCAGTCTTCAGACTGTCCCTTGGTCCTTGATAAACATGAGATTTCTATTTGCTTTCAAAGGTTCTGACTTTGCTGCTGGAATCCAACAGTGCAAAAGACCTAGCCTGCCTGATTGCTGGGTACTACAGGCTGTTGGTTGACCCAGTTACCTCCATTTTCCTCTGGCCTGGAAACAAACAACAAGCGCACCGGGTATCTGCAGAAGAAGGTGAGGCACTGAGTCTTGCCCCAATAAGG